>NC_000020.11:4005728-4157244 GCF_000001405.40 Homo sapiens
TTTTTTTTGGTTTGCCAAGATGAACTTAATAAACTTAACAGATACTGCAGCACCATTCAATCTGCACATTTGAAAAAAAAATTAAGGCAACATAAAGCATACTGATAGACAGCAGTGAAACTATTAATTTTGAGAATTCAATAAACACTGTCATCAAATGAACTGAATGCTCATTATTCTTACAGTATGATATTTGCACTTATTTTGCTGTCAATTAAACAATTATGATATTAAATCTGCTAAAGGAAGTGAAGAACTGTATCTGATACAAGCACCTGTCTAATCGGGAAAACATAAGTACCATCAAAATGAGAGACAAGCTAAGACTACATACATAATTAACCTTCTATAGAATCTATGGTTTATGGCTAGGTGTGGTGGCTCACATTTGTAATCCCCGCACTCTAGGAGGCTGAGGCGGGTAGAACACCTGAGGTCAAGACCAGCCTGGCCAACATGGTGAAACCCTGTCTCTACTAAAAATACAAAAATTAGCTGAGTGTGGTGGCGCATGCCTGTAATCCTAGCTACTTGGGAGGCTGAGGCAGAAGAATCGCTTGAACCCAGGAGGCAGAGGTTGCGGTGAGCAGAAAGAGCACCACTGCACTCCAGCCTGGGTGACAGAGCAAGTCTCTGTCTCAAAAAAAAAAAAAAGTCTATGGTTTACACAGGAGCAAGCTTTACAACAAGATGGAAAAATTTTCCTAATTCAAATGATCAAAACTTTAGAAGATGACAACAAAAGGAACGGGCAAACCTCACTTTAAGAAAAGTTGACAAATAAAAACAGGAACTTTAAAAGCAGGTAACCTGGAAGTTACTTACAATATAAAAACATTCACTACAGTTCATTGCAACTTTAATACACCTAACAGTAGTGAATCCATAAAAATTCAAATTACATTAAATTTCCAGAGCAAATTTGTAACACGAGGTTCACTTGTAACATTATCTAAATAGCAGTTTCCTTTCCCTTGCCACTGCAGGCTTTCTCCAACTCCCTGGGGTACTATGGAGGGCCAGTGCAACTCTCTGGTATCAGACTATCCTTAGGGCACATGGAGGGCCCAGGCCAGCTTTCCCAAGAGTGGCCAGCCAAAAGCAAGGCCACTGGCCAGCTATTCTTGGGCCAGCTGGCATGGAACAAAGTGTCTGGTTCCTACCTCCAAAGCACAGGAGGCTCTGCCAGCTGGCTTTCAAAGGACTGCACTAGTTGGAATGCTCACAGTTCCTTTCAAACCATCTGGCATTCTTTTAGAACCCTCAATTTACCCAACACTACATTCTGAGATTTGAATTGCTCAGATAATTGAAGGAGTCCCCACTACCTACCTAGGTAAGAAAAGAAAGAGGCAGAGCAAACGCTAAGTCAATTACTTCAAGAAACAGTTTCTACAACTAAAAACTGCTCTCAAGTTTAGCTTGTATATTTTGTATTTTAAAATCTAAAATATTCCCATGATTATTAAGCAAACTTTCAAAGTAAAAACCAAGACAAGTAATAAGAGAATAAGCTAAAACAGACTATTTAACATGCAGAAAAGCTGTAGGAATCCCTTAGGGTTAGAAGTACCTGACTCTCCCTAGCCTGAACTTCTACAGAGCCTGTCTGTATTTTTTATGTGGTCCTCAGAATATACTTCGTACTGCTACATATATTTACCCTCCCAGCTAGCTAGTAGATGAAAAGAACATTGTCTTATAGCTGTTTCAAAAGAAAAAAAAATCTGTTGATGATATATTGGGTGTTTTTAAAGCTCCATTTCCAGAAATAAGAAAACTTAATGTGGAATAACATGAAGAAAGAACCTCACCTCTGAGAAAACCAAATAAACAAAGAACAGGACTTGGCTTGAAATAAAAATATTTTATCAAGTGATCAAAATGATTTATTGGCTGGGCATGGTGGCTCCTGCCTGTAATCCTAGCACTTTGGGAGGTGCTGGTAGGGTCACTTGAGCCCAGGAGTTTGAGACCAGCCTGGGCAACATAGTGAGACCCTGTCTCTACAAAAAAAAAAAAAAAAAAAGAAAAAAAATTAGCCTGGCATGCTGGTGTGTGCCTGTGGTCGCAGCTACTTGGGAGGTTGAGGTGGGAGGATTGTTTGAGCCCTGGAGGTTAAGGCTGCAGTGAGTTGGAGATCACACCACTGCACTGCAGCCTGGGCGACAGAACAAGACTCTCTCTCTTAAAAACAAACACACCCCCGCCCCCCACAAAACCAAGAACAGCTGAATCATCATATTGATAGCCCATATACCCTAGGAGATATAGTATTTTGAACAAAAATATTATAGAGACCAAGTCAGAGTCAAATATTATAAACTGGAGGAGGCTATAATAATTACTATTATTTTTCATTGAGTTTACTCCCAAGACGAGTACTGAGTTTCGTGTTTTACATATTATCTCATTTGGAACACAAAACAAACACATGAGGTAGGAACTATTATTAACCACATTACAAATGAAGAAAGAGAGAGGTTAGGAAACCTGCTGGAGGTCACATAGCAAAAAGTGAAAGAGCTGGAATTCAACTCCAAGCAGTCTGATGCCAGAGTCCAGGTGCAAGACTGCAAATATATATATATATTATATATATAATATATATATTATACATGTAATATGTATAATATATATATTATATATATAATATATATATTATATATGTAATATGTATAATATATATATTATATATAATATATAATATGTATAATATATATAATATATAATATATAATATGTATAATATATAATATAATATAATATATATATTATACATATTATATATTATATATATATTATTTATATATATTATATATATATATATTTTTTTTTGAGACAGAGTCTCGCTCTGTCACCCAGGCTGGAGTGCAATGGCACAATCTTGGCTCACTGCAACCTCCACCTCCCAGGTTCAAGCAATTCTCTGTCTCAGCCTCCCGAGTAACTGGGATTACAGGCACCCGCCACCACACCCGGCTAATTTGTTGTATTTTTAGTAAGATGGGGTTTCACCATCTTGGCCAGGCTGGTCTTGAACTCCTGACCTCATGATCCACCCGCCTTGACCTCCCAAAGTGCTGGGATTACAGGCATAAGCCACCATGCCCGGCCCAAGACTGCCAATATTAAGTCATACTTATGAAAGAATGAAATGTAACATAGGGCAAAATTTGATCATTAATATATTCTTCATAATTGTTTCAATTCTTAAGTGTAGCAAAAAATGGTGAGTAATTAAAAAACATGGATTCTCTTGTTAGAAATTTTTAAAAATCAAAAGCTATTTTACCAGGTCAGTTGTGCCTCTTTTGCCCATGTACTGAGTAGACACTTGTGCCACCTGCTGTCCTAGGGGACAGAGTGGTAAACAGGACAGATGAGGTCCTTGCCTTCCTGGAGCTGACCTTCTATTAGGGGTAAGTCACACAAAAATTATTAAACAACAGAATTTCAGAGGGTGGTACGTACTATAGAGGAGGTAGGGAAGGCACGTAAACTTCTCTTTTGAGAGACTTAACCATGTAGGTAAATAGAAAGGGATAGAGGAGGGTCAGGGAAAAGTTGTTTGCTGAAGCTTATTCTGATTTTAAAGATGGGCAACGTCACGGCATATGTGTATGCTGACATGGATAGCCCCCTGGAGAGTTGCTGATGATGCAAGAGAGAGGGCAAAAATGCTAAAGCTGTGAGATATGAGGGGGCATGAGGTATAGAAGATGTGAGGAGGAACACAGTAGAAAGGGGAGCTTGCCTCCGACAGGAGACAGAAAACATGGGTCTAAGGAAGGCAGATTTCTACATTTGGTTGGGGGGAAGATGAGTGGTTTCTGTCTGATATCTCCTAAACCCTCAATGAACTATGAGGTCAGCTTATCTGAGTAGGAGGGGTGGGTTGCTGATAAGTTTAAGGAGTGGAGAGAAGTTATGAAATAGTGATAGGCAAAAAGATCTTATTAAGATTCAATGGTAGCTTTGCCGGGCAGTGCTGAGTGTCTACTTCGGATTTTTGGTCATGAATCTGAAGTTCTCTTGTAATATCCAGCCACTTGGGTGGTGTCATGGAAAAGCCAAATGAATGATAAAGCAGCTATAAATAGAAAAAAAAGGGTTTTTAATTTTAAAATTTTTAAAGAGTAAACAAAGGATGTTTTAAAAATATGTATCCAAATTAGCCAGGCATGGTGGCGGGCACCTGTAATCCCAGCAACTGGGGAGGCTGAGGCAGGAGAATCGCTTGAACCTGGGAGGCAGAGGTCGAAGTGAGCCGAGATCACGCCACTGCACTCCAGCCTGGGTGAAAGAGTGAGACCCTGTCACAAACAAACAAACAAACAAACAAACAAACAAACAAACAAACAAGGCCAGATGCGGTGGCTCATGCCTGCAATCCCAGCACTTTGGGAGGCTGAGGTAGGCAGATCACGAGGTCAGGATTTCGAGACCAGCCTGACCAACATAGTGAAACCCCGTCTCCACCAGAAATACAAAAATTAGCTGGACATGGTGGCGCACGCCTGTAGTCCCAGCTACTCGGGAGGCTGAGGCAGGAGAATTGCTTGAACCCGGGAAGCAGAGGTTGTGGTGAGCCGAGATTGCACCACTGTACTCCAGCCTAGGTGACAGAGTGAGACTCCATCTCAAAATAATAATAATAATATGTATCCATGAGATAAACACAAAAATACTGACAATGTTCTGTGAAGCTGTGATTTATGCAGCTCCTTTTGCTTCCATCTTCTCATCACAGAAATTCTTGCAAACAATATATTTGTCACATTTAATAATGACATATTTAATCATGAAGCTCAAGTTAGTTTCTTTTTGGTCATTTCTTTTTTTGTCATTTCCTAAGGTGGATTTTTAAAAAATGCACCTGACAGCCGTCATGTTGGTTCATTTCACTGCTTAAAAGAAACTCTCTCTGATGTCAATTGATATTTTCATTGTTGATTTCATTTAAAAGTAAAAAAACTTAATCCCCTCTCTCAATGAACACATACACATCTACAGTGCTTAATCTCAATGCCTAAACAGTGGTCACAAGGAAAATGGGAAGGGAGATGCTGGCCTGATGGCGCTGGGCACCTAGCAGTGCCAGGTGCATGTTCTTGATCTTGCAGCTGTGCTCTTAAAACACAATGCTCAAGATCCAAAACGTTCGGGGGAGAATTCCTGTCTGCACAGGTTCAAGAGGAGGAAACAAAGACCCCACTGCTTGATGGAGGCACAAAGAATAGCATATTGGGTGAGATGGGGGGAGTATGCACACACATACATATACAGCCTTTTTGGAAAATACAATCTACCCCACAAGCAAAAGTAAAGAAAAATATCTATTCCAAGGTACATCATGAAATGTCAGGAACACCAGGGATAAACTGAAGATCCTAAAATCTTTCAGAGTGGGAAGAAAAAGGGAATGAGGATTAAAATGACATTGGACTTCTCAATAGTGACACTGGAAGCTAATGGAACAATGTCTTCAAAACAGTCACATTAATTTTCAATCCAGATTTTAACACCAAGCTAAACTACCATTCAAGAGTGAAGGTAAAATGAAGGCATTTCCAGACATGTAACTTCTGAATTCAGGAAGGAATTTCAGATTTTGTATGTACCCTTTCTCAGGAAGCTACTCAAGAATAAGGAAGACACAGGGTCCAGGAAATAGAAGACCTAACACAGGAGGAAGGCAAAGGGAATTCCCAAGATGATGACAAAGGGAAGTCCCAGGATGATGGCTATGCAGTAGTCCAGGGAGCAAACAATTCCAGACTGGAGTAGGAGAGAGGGGGCTCCAGCAGGACCATCTCCTGGGGAAAAGATATGAAAGTGAGTGACTACCTGAGAATATTCAAAGATAATCAGTTTTGTCATAGAGTTTGAATGAATTAGTGACTGATACAAAGAAAACTCAGCAAATGAAAACCAAACAAACAAAAGAGGCAATTATTTAATTCAGGAGCAACAAAAGTTGTTCAAGAAGAAAACACAGTAATAGCACCCTACGTGGCTCAACTGTGAATAACAGGTACACTGTCAGTCATATAAATCCTGAATACCGACCTAACTGTCAAGTATGAGTGGGAAATGGAAGGATAGTTATGTGAGACAGTTAAGTCTTCAACTTCCAAAATAGAAGTCCACAGAGAATATCCAAAAGTGAAGAGCTAAGAAATAGCAGTATAAACATTAAAAATGAAATAAGTATAAAGGTAAATACCAAAAGAAACCAGTAAGAGTTGAGAGTGGTTTAACTATATAATATATAAGACTGCTGATTTTGATTTTTTCTCAGTCTCAACATGGCAATTTCATATGATTCAAGCTAACACATTGTAATAGCATTATTACTGATCTTAGAATAAACTCCCATTTAAAACAATAAACAATTATTGGCCGGGCGCGGTGGCTCACACCTATAATCACAGCACTTTGGGAGGCTAAGGCAGGCAGATGGCTTGAGGCCAGGAGCTCAAGACCAGTCTGGCCAACATGGCAAAACTCCGTCTCTACTAAAAATACAAAAAAAAATTAGCCAGGCGTGGTGGCCAGTGCCTGTATTCCCAGCTATTCGGGAAGCTGAGGCATGAGAATCACTTGAACCTGGGAGACGGAGGCTGCAGTCAGCCGAGATCACGCCACTGCACTCCAGCCTAGGGGACAGGGTGAGACTCCATCTCAAAAAAAAAAAACAACAAAACACCCAAAAAACAAAAAAGCAATTATTGATAGAGAATGCTCAATGGAAAAATAAATTACTTTTTATTATGAGACATTACTGGGAGGATAATAGATCCTAGTTAACAAAGTGTTACCATCTATGCTCTTACCATCACTAACATAATATTACTATTCTAATGAATAAATATTTACTATTAAAACAGCACTTAACATTATTTTATCTATTTTAAGGATCTAAAAGTTAGTTTAGATTTTTTCTTCAATCATCATACTACAGAATGCTAAACTATGGGTTGGCAAATACTTTGATTAACAGAATGCTGAATAACAAGGCCAGGCTGTGTTTAGGTTCCTTTGTTGATATTAAAAATAGCTAAGTCACTCTTGCAAAATTAAACTTCCATGAAATTGCGATACTGTGCAAGCTTATTTCAGTGATAATTCCGGTTATGCTACTCTGTTTATCTAAGACTTCCCCTTACGGTTTGTTTTAAGGAGACTCCTAAAAAATGTCTTATGCAGTCAAGACAGGCAGTTTATAAATGTACTGGGTTACTTCAACATTAGTGACTTTAGTTAGTAAAGCTCTTGTTTTTTTTTTTCTGCTTCATTTTTCCTTCATAAAAGCCTTGTTTTAAATTAACTTATCTGAATTAAATTAATTGATATTAAGATTTTATTTAAATCATGCATTAAAACCAAAACATCCCCAATTGAAAAATCAACTTTCATTAATTTTTTTTTACTCTTACAAAAAAGAATTTGAACGTGGTAAGAATTTTACTAAGAATAATGTATCCTGAACTGACCATGGAAAATTTCCCCTTCAAATTAAAAGCAAATGTTTTAAACAGAGGGAATATACATAAACAGATGCTGTGGAAGACTGCTTAGTTTACATTTCATTTTCCACTGAAAACTACTAGGAATTAAAATACATGTGATTTTTAAAAATATTACAGAGAATCTTAAAGAAAACAGAACCCATACAATTATTCATATCATCCAATATAAGCGCCTCTTAATTTTTTAAAACCGCTATTTTGAATCCAAAGATCATAATAAAAATAGCTTTTTTTTCAGACGGAGTTTCGCTCTTGTTGCCCAGGCTGGAATGCAATGGCGCGATCTAGGCTCACTGCAACCTCCGCCTCCGGGAGTTCAAGCGATTCTCCTGCCTCAGCCTCCCGAGTAGCTGGAATTACAGGCGCTCGCCACCATGCCCGGCTAATTTTTTGTATTTTTTTAGTAGAGACAGGGTTTCACCATGTTGGCCAGGCTGGTCTCAAACTTCTGACCTCTGGTGATCCACCCACCTCGGCCCCCCAAAGTGCTGGGATTACAGGTGTGAGCCACCGCACCCGACCCATAATAAAAATACCTTGGAGGTGTGTTTCTTGTAAATGAGTGGCTAATTTCCCAACACCCTGTAAAAGTATATGGGTAAAAAGAAACTGAAAATCATCATGCAACCAGAGTTAACAACTATCTTGCAAAATTCATATCATTTGTTTTAAAACCAAAATAGCAAGGAAGAGCTGGTGTTATCCCAATAGCCTCTTTTTAATTGGTCTACAACAACTGCAACTCTTCATAACTTTACCAACACAACAAAGTCAGGCAGGCAGTCTGACAGAGTCAACGTTTGTGGGAACCTACAGCGCTTCCTTCTCTCTCTGGAGATGAGGACAATGAAAAAAGGTGTTCTGTTTTCCAGTAGTCCTGTAAGAGGAGCCATTGAGCTGGGCTGTACAACCAGACAACAGAACACAGGAAAATTCACATCAAAGCAAGGGCGCATGCCAGGGTAATATGCAATAAAACCCTCTGCCAAAGCATTAAGGGGAAAAAAAAGCAAGGAGGTAGAGAGAACCTGCTGGACTACCTTCTCATTAACACAGGGAGGCAGAAAGAAACAAAATCTGCCTGTATTCAGGAGCGGAGAAAACTGTGTCCTAGATATATTGGAGTATTCCTATAGACATGTTTATGAGCATTCGGACAAATTATCAATGAACTAAACCCAGAAAGCAGTGTCCTGTACGGTGGAGTATTCCTATGTAGACAGACATGAGAATCTTACCATTAACTAAGCCCAAAAAGGCAAAGTATTCTAGAAACACAGATATATGAGAATTTAGATGCACATTTCCAATGAATAAAACCCACTGGTTTTACAGTGAGAAAAAACTGTTTGAAATAACATCAGGTAAAGAATTGGGTAAAGGTGTGATGAAGTTATATCCCCTCCCCTTTTCCTCATACCCTTTTTGACAATCTCTGATTCTCTCATTTCATAGATGTCCCTTTCACTTGAATGCGCACACACACACACACACACACACACACACACACACACATCATTAGGTCTCCAGAAACAAAGGAGGGTCCTTAATTCTCCGGCCTGTGGAACCACACACGCCCCCTGCCCACAGATGGTGACTTTCATTAATGAGTAAGCCGAGGGAAGAGGTCTCCACCCCGACCACTGCCATGCACACTGTGACAACGGGGCACGAGACAAGCGCCACAAAGAAAGGGGAGGAGTGGACGGGGACCAGGAAAACACTGCCACGCCGCACCCCCCAAGGCGCGCGCCCACCGCCAACGCGGGGGCAGCGTCCTCGCCATCCTCCTCCTAGCCTCCCAGCTCATCCCAGCCGCCTCCCACGCCCGGGGACCCGATGCCAGGGCTTGGGCGAGCAGGACGTGCGGGGGCCCACGCACCTTCCCTCCGTGATCTCCAGGTGACAGCCCCGCTCCGCCCTTTGTGAGGGACTCACCCTCCAGTCCCGGGGCCGCGCCGGACCCTCCTCCGCGTCCCTCCTCAGCCTGGAGACACCGCCTCACCCCTGCACACCGCGCCCGGCCGGCCGAGGCGCCGGGAGAGTGTGTGTGTGTGGGAGGCTGGCGCGGGCCCGCGGTCTCCTCAGCATCCCGAACCCGGAGCGGCTCGGTCCCCCAAACCCCAGCCCGGGGGCGGCGGCCGCGGCGCTCCCGCCCTCGCTCGCTCACTTACTCGGGCGCGCCGGTGGCAGCGGCAGACGTGCGGGACCGTCAGCGCCCTGCGGCGGGCGGCAGGCTGCGGGCGGCGAGCGTCCGTCCGGACAGAGCGCGGCGGAGGTGGCGGCGGCTGACTGCGCCCGGCGGCCCCTCGCGAGGGGCGGGCCCGCCGGGGGAGGGGCGGGCGCCGCGCCTCTCATTCATGCAGCGGGGGCGGGGTGAGGGACCCGGATGCCCGGGCAGTTTCCCCACCCACCTCGGCGGAGGGCTCGGCGGCTTCAGAGTCTGCAGTGCGCAGGCGCGGCGCTCCCTGGCCAGGCCTGGTGCGGCCCTGGCCGCTGGCTCTGTTCCTGGTTAGAACTACGCCAGACAGGCCGGGCGAGGTGGCTCACGCCTGTAATCCCAGCACTTTGGGAGGCTGAGGCGGGCAGATCACGAGGTCAGGAGATCGAGACCATCTTGGCTAACGCGATGAAACCCCGTCTCTACTAAAAATACAAAAAATTAAATTAGCCGGGTGTGGTGGCGGGCGCCTGTAGTCCCAGCTACTTGGGAGGCTGAGGCAGGAGAATCGCCTGAACCTGGGAGGCGGAGCTTGCAGTGAGCCGAGATCGTGCCACTGCACACCAGCCTGGGCGACAGAGCGAGACTCTGTCTCAAAAAAAAAAAAAAAAAACAACTACTCCAGACAGACCTTCTCCATCGACCGTTTAGTATTTTTGCGTGCCCTACAAGCATTTTTAAAAGTGAAAGCATGGGGCCGGGCGCAGTGGCTCACGCCTGTAATCCCAACACTTTGGGAGGCCAAGGCGGGTGGATCACCTGAGGTCAGGAGTTCCAGACCAGCCTGACCAACATAGAGAAACTCTGTCTCTACTAAAAATACAAAATTAGCTGGGTGTGGTGGCTCATGCCTGTAATCCCAGCTACTCGGGAGGCTAAGGCAGGAAAATCTCTTGAACCCGGGGAGCGGAGGTTGCAGTGAGCCAAGATCGCACCATTGCACTCCAGCCTGGGTGACAGAGCAAGACTCCGTCTCACACACAAAAAAATGAAAGATTGGAATGCCACCCCTTTCCTAGCATGCAGATTGACAGTCCCCAGAGACACAAGAATGGTCACGTGGTGCCCATTGGTTTGATGGGGAGATGGTATGCACCGCACCCTCCTCCATCTGCCCCTCCTGCTGCAGCCTCTCAGCTGAGTGCTAGAACCTTGGTGATGGATGAGACCTAGACTCTGCCCAGATAGTGGAGAGAGGTGTGTGCAAGAAACAGTGCATTCCTTTATTTACATCCACTCCTCAACCTCCGGCTCCCATTCTACAGGGCAGGCAATAAATTGACCTCCGATTTTGGGAGGCTGAGCTCTTCCTGCAATACCAAGGCAAGGATCTGGGGAGTCCTCTCTTGTCTTTAGCAGGCAGTGTATTCTGCAGATACTCTCTTGTTCCCATCGCCTTGTGTCTGCCACTCCTGGGGTACGGAAGTTTCTGGAGAGGCTAGGAGCCTGCAGAGGGAATGGCTGTGAAGCTCCACAGCTGACTGTGTGTGCGCTGCAGCTCAGAGCTTGCAAAAATGATTGCCCCCTCTTCCTCAGTCTCCATGTGTCCCCCAGAAGTTCTCCTTCCTTCTCCTAATCTCTCAGGCCCCATCACATAAACCATAAACAGCTCAGTAGCTTAACTTTGGGAAGCAAAAGTCATCATGGCAAGCGCCTAGAGGCATGTTCCTTCTGCTTTGGCAAACCATTAACCACCAAGGCAGGGAGGAAGTAAAGAGGGAAACATTAGTGAATTTCTCAAGAAGTCACCTGCCACCCAATGGTCACAGTCCCCCAAAGTGAGAGAAGGGTGGAGGCATGTGCTAGGGAGACTGTGGCAAAAGGAAGGGAGTGGGAGACCCAGGCTTCCTCTAGAGCTGCCTGTGCCAGGGCTGTGCTGGGGGAACACTGCCCTCCTTGCTGTCAATCATAGCAGTTACCTGGAGGGTCTTTTCAACTTTGCTTTGCTCAAACCTCTCACTGTTCTAAATCAGCCCCCTCATCTCTCCCCTGGGCTGTTGCAGAAGTCTCAATCCATTCTCATGCAAATCGATTCTCATGGTATTCAAATCTGCCTGTGTTTCTGTCTTTTTCTTTTTCCCTGCCCCATCTGGCTCCTTGAGCCTTATTTTCCAGCCATTTACAGAACAGCACCATGGTGTTTCACCTCAGTAGTCACCAAGGTGACTGCTGTTTCCTGCTGTTCCCCTACTAGGAAAGCAATACTTACCTAGCATGCAAAAGTTGCTCTTTTCTCTGAAAATCCACAGATGCTTTTTAGGGCAGTGAAAATACTCTGTGTATGATACCATAATGGTGGATACCTGTCATGACACATTTGTCTAAATCCATAGAATGAATAATACCAGCAGCAAACTCTAATGTAAACATGGATTTTGGGTGATAATGATGTGCCAATGTAGGTCCAACAATAGTAATAAATGCTCCCGTGGGAGAATGTTTATAATGGGGGGGCTATGTATGTGTAGGGGGGAAGGGCTAGTTGGGAACTCTGCACATTCCTCTCACTTTTGTGGCAAACTTAAAACTGCTCTAAAAAAAAGTAAAGTATTTACAAAGTCATTTTTGATAAAGTATTTTTTTCTGCCCCCACTTATTGACAGACTTTCCTTGAGAATCCCCACCTGTGCCCTGTACCCACTTCCCTCTCAGCACTAGGCACCCTCCAAGGTCCCTGCTCATTTGCATATTTTCTTACCACACCAGCATGTGAGTCCTTCATCAGCAGGATCAGTATCTCCCAGGACCTAATATGTGACTGGCACATAGTGGGTCTGCTGTGGCTATTGGTGGAGGTGATGTTCCCTGGTGGGCTGGGGAGGCTCCACAGGAGAAGGAAAGGCTGAGCTCCTTTTCTTTCTTCTTCCTTATTTTGGCTTCCTTCCTCTGCCCTGCGTTTGGAAACCTGTTTTGTTTGTTTGTTTAGAAAGCTTGGCTAGTAATTCACTAGTCCAATCAGGCTGTAGGGTAGAGGATGGAGTGGCTCATTTCATGTCTTTTGTTCTTGAAAAAATTAGGGGTGAGTGGGAAAGAGAATGAGAGAATGAACGGAAGGAGGAGGGGCCGTGTCCAGTTGCTGTTTTCAGGGAGACTCATCTTATTAAAATTTTGCTGTGTCATCAACTGGCCCAACTGGTTTTTAGGGTCAAGGAGAAAGTTTTCCTTTGGGACTGGACAGGTGGAATCTGGCCTCACAGTTTCTACAACATATGGCAGGATCCTGCTCTTCTGTCCCCTGTAGCGGGTTGTCCCGTGTTCCCCTTAAGGAAGAAATCACAGTTTTTGTCCTCCTGGTGCTTCCGGCTGGAGGTTCACCTGCTAGTCCCTGATCCTCTTTGCTTAGTGATGCACATGAGTCTACTCATCCCCCCACCACTCCCAGCCCCCACTGGTCTAGGCAAAATGCAAGTGATGGGAGAGTGTGGGTGGGCAATTCTTTCTCTGGAGGGTTTAGGTGGGTACCTCAAAACAGCAGGCAGCTAGGACTTGAAGTGGTGGCTTCGCAGCTAACATTTTCCTTGTTCCACATGATGGGTAGGGGTAGGGTAGGGAAGACTTCACTGTTTGGAGTTTCGGAGGATGCCCCTCTTTCTCTTTATCCTTCCTCCCCACAGTCCCCTCCCATCTCCTCCCTTATACCTCTTTTTTTTTTTTTTTTTTTTTTTTGAGATGGAGTTTCGCTCTTGTTGCCTGGGCTGGAGTACAGTGGCGCCATCTCGGCTCACTGCAACCTCCATCTCCCAGGTTCAAGCAATTCTCCTGCCTCAGCCTCCTGAGTAGCTGGGATTACAGGCATGCGCCACCACGCCCAGCTAATTTTGTATTTTTAGTAGAGACGGGGTTTCTCCATGTTGGTCAGGCTTGTCTCAAACTCCTGACCTGAGGTGATCCACCTGCCTCGGCCTCCGAAATTGCTGGGATTACAGGTGTAAGCCACCACGCCCAGCCCTTATACCTCCTTTTAAGCAATGTCCTCACCCCAAATCCATCTCAGAAAATTGTCCCTACCCATATGGTCAGAAGTCCTTCAAGACTCCTGGAAAAGAAATCACAACTACTTTTAAATCAAACGTCTGACTAATTTTGGAACAGTGAGAACAGGGGCTGGTTTTAGTCATCTTTGGATCAGGTGCCCAATACAAGTTTGTTGAATGAATGCCTGACTGGTCAAGACAAAATCAGTCTTTCAAACAGAAGCTAGAAATCAAAGGTTGCCTATAGCCCCATTCCTCTGTCCATCCTCCCCATCTGTTGAGATGGCACGATTTCAGAAAAACATCCCTCCCACTGGTCAATCCTTTGAAAGCTTAATTATTCAGAGTTCTAAATGACCCCTTTAAGGGTTGATCATATAATGCTTTGACCCGTTGGACTGTGCCAGTAGAGGAGGAGATGTTCTGTGTTCCCCGAGCCTCTTCATCCAAGAATTCCAAAGTGACTCCTCCTGCCTTGATCCCTCCCAATGGCCCTCTCCTCCTCATAGCCCATGGGGACCTCTTGCTGGGGCGTGACGCTGCCCACGGAGGGGTGGAATTGCTTCTTCTTTTTTTTTTTTTAGATGAAGTCTCTCTGTCGCCCAGGCTAGAGTGCAGTGGTGCAATCTTGGCTCACTGTAACCTCCGCCTCCTGGGTTCAAGTGATTCTCCTGCCTCAGCCTCCCGAGTAGTTGGGATTACAGGCACCTGCCACTGCGCCCAGCTAATTTTTGTATTTTTAGAAGAGACAGGGTTTCACCATCTTGGCCAGGCTGGTCTCGAACTCCTGACCTCAAGATCCACCCGCCTCGGCCTCCCAAAGTGCTGGAATTACAGGCATGAGCCACCGGAATTGCTTCTTAATGCAGAATGTGTGTGCAAGACTGTGAAACAGCAAGAGTTGGGGAGAAAGCGTAGGTTTCTGTGTGCATGGTACCTTTAGGACTGGCTGTGTGTCCACCCACAAGCCAGCGAAGGAGGTGGGAACCTGGGATTCTGTTTACCCAGCCACCAACAAGCCCCGTTGCCTTTCTGGCACACACAAGCCCAATCACCCAGAACTCCTGAAAATATAAATGTTCTCAAGATCTCATGTGGGAGCTTTTTAGCTGAGACCAGCCACACATGCAGGAGACTGGAAGCACTATTTCCCAGGGGTGGAACAACCTGCTCAGACTCACTTTTAGATTGGAGGATACCCATCTCAGCGTGGATTCTCCCAAGAACAGATCTTAAGACAAGGGCTTGGATGTAGGTAATTTACTTGGGAGGTGATTCCAGGAAATAAGAGTGAAGAAATGGGGAAAGCAAGCTGTGAAAGGGAGAGAAGCCAACAGTAAGGTATGCTGATGGGCCAGTTACTGCCATGGGCAACTGAGGCTCAGTCTGGCTTGGCGTCCACTGAGAAACCTTGTAGAACAGCCCTCAGCATTGTCTGCCTGGATGACCAGGAGGCCAGAGTATTTCTCCACTGACTTCAGTGTCTTGGTTGCTTTTCTTTTCTTTTTTTTTTTGAGACGGAGTTTCGCTCTTGTTGCCCAGGCAGGAGTGCAGTGGCATGATCTCAGCTCACTGCAACCTCCGCCTCCCGGGTTCAAGAGATTCTCCTGCCTCAGCCTCTCAGGTAGCTGGGATTACAGGCATGCGCCACCATGCCTGGCTAATTTTGTATTTTTTTAGTAGAGACGGGGTTTCTCCATGTTGGTCAGGCTGGTCTTGAACTCCCGACCTCACGTGATCCACCTGCCTTGGCCTCCCAAAGTGCTGGGATTACAGGCATGAGCCACCGCGCCTGGCCCTCTTTTCTTTTCTTTTCTTTTTTTGAGACAGAGTCTCACTCTTGTCACCCAGGCTGGAGTGCAGTGGCGCCATCTAGACTCATTGCAACCTCTGCCTCCTGGTTGTTCAAGTGATTCTTGTGCCTCAGCCTCCTGAATAGTTGGGATTACAGGCGTGTGCCACCATGCCCAGCTAAATTTTGTATTCTTAGTAGAGACAGGGTTTTGCCATGTTGGCCAGGCTGGTCTCAAAATCCTGGCCTTGAGTGATCTGCCCAGCTCAGCCTCCCAGAGGGTACTTTCAAGTTACATCTATGGAACAAAGCAAGCCGCTCTGCTAAGCTCCTCCAGTTATTGATTACACAACCCCCACAGCTGTGACCACCATTTGGCTACCACCATCATCACAGCTTCTGCCCCTCCAATTTCCCCCAGCCAATTATATCACTGCCTTTTCTCTCTGCTAGGTTCTGTTAGGCCTGAGCTTTAAAGAGAAAGGAATAAAGTGGAATGATATATCTTTGCCCATAACTCATTCTAGGAAAAAGGAACTATGCTGGTTTTCTTTTTCCTCCATTTCAACCTATCCAATCTACCCAAATAGTTCCCAATCATTATCACCTCATCCCAAAGCAACAGACGGGAAAGAGGAACAGGGCAAGAAAGCAGACAGGCTTTCTGGAGTGACTTTTATCCCCACAGAGTCATAGATGCAGAGTTGGAAGAGATGAATTCTCTCATTTGGGAGATAAGGACACCATGCAGATAAAGAGACTCTGTATCTTCTGCTTTTCCTGCTGCTGCAGTGCTTCCTCCAGGCAGGCTTCCTTAGTTTTTCTTGGCTTCCTACCCTTCCAACCTACGCCATCATAATCTGGACTCCAGCCCTTTATTCCCTCAAAGGCTGACTCAGGCCATGACTGAGGGAAGAAGCTTGGATTCTGTAGTGGAACAGCATTGTCCATGGGGAGACACGGCTTCCATCCCAGGCCTTTGGTTCCATTACTTAGTTTCTCACTTGCCTGTCTGTCATCCAAAGGGGCTCACAAGGAGGGGAATGCAGGGAGGAGACATCTCCCTAATACCATTGGAGTTTTTTTCCAGGTTAAGATGGTGCATTGAATCCACCCATCTACTTTTGCTCCTCCCAAAACTCACTAAAACTATTATAAAGGGATTTTGTTTAAAGACACAAACTCATGAGGACAGAGAGAACAGAGTAGACAATAGTGGGGGAAAAATAAGTTGGAAGATAGAAAACAGATGGGTGAGTGGTAATCGACTCAGCAGCCCCAAGAAAGCTGAAACCCAGGGAAAGTTAAGAGTAGCCCTATTTTCATGGCAAAATCCAAGGGGGGGTGGGGAAAGAAAGAAAAACAGAAAAAAAAATGGGAATTGGCAGTCCTAGATATCTCTGGTACTGGGCAAGCCAAAGAATCAGGATAACTGGGTGAAAGGTGATTGGGAAGCAGTTAAAATCTTAGTTCCCCTCTTCCACTCTCCGAGCAGCAGGTTTCTCTCTCTCATCAGGCAGAGGGCTGGAGATTTCACCTCCGGAGAGAGTAAAAAGGAGGATCTCTGGGCTGGGGCACCAGGCGTGGCTGAGGACAAAGGTGGCATGTGGAGAACAGGGGCGTTAAGTGACTATTTCCTCACTGCATGCTGAGAACCTCAGCTTTCTTCTCTGATCACTTCCCAAATCACTGGCAGCTACTCTCCACCTCTCTTCTCTGAGCACTCTGACCAGCCAAAAGGGAAAGAATGAAGGATACTGGCATTCAGATTTCCAGTAAACGACCATCCATGTCTCCCTACGGTGAATCACAGTTGACAAGCCCAGTTCCTGCACTCAGGGTTTTTCATAGTCCTTTACTCTTAATCAAGAGCAGAGAGCTAAAGATTATGTCTTAGGTTCCCTAGAAACAGAAGCTGTGATGCAGATTCAGATGCATGCGATTTATTGCGGGCGGGCCCTCAGAAGAAGCTCCTTTTTCCACCTCCAGAAAGAGCATGGAAAGGAACTGAGCAAGGATGTGGTCTTGGCTGGAGTCTAGCCTCAGTCTGACCCACAGGGAGCCCTGGAGCATGAATTGCACCACAGGGTTGATCTCACCTTGAAGCAAGAGGGCCAGCTTTTGTATCCATATATTGATCAATCACTGGCTGTGGGCTGCCAGGGAGGAAGCCATGAATTCCCAGGCAAGGTAGTTCCTACTTGAGGACAATTCTTTAGATAAAGTGGCAGCTCTGGTCTATTTATGACCGAGATTTATAGCAGCTGAAGGTATGGGCAGAACACCAATAACATCTACTGTAGATTACCAGATTACCAAATATCTGAGGAAAGCTGCTAACATGGAAGATAGAAAATAAATAACAATAAAAACAAGTCAAAACAAGCAAGCAAACTAATAATTAAAATAAACAGAAAAAGGCAAGTTGGAGGAAACCAAGATTTATTTTTAAGAATAAGAGGTGATAGGCAGTTCGGCGGTCCAGTGGGTCTGTCTCTTGCTTCAACAGTGTTTGGACGGAACAGATCCGGGGACGGTCTTCCAGCCTCCGACCGCCCTCCAATTTCCTCTCCACTTGCAACCTCCGGGACCATCTTCTCGGCTATCTCCTGCTTCTGGGACCTGCCAGCACCGTTTTTGTCGTTAGCTCCTTCTTGGCGACCAACCATGAGCTCCCAGATTCGTCAAAATTATTCCACCGACGTGGAGGCAGCCGTCAACAGCCTGGTCAATTTGTACCTGCAGGCCTCCTACACCTACCTCTCTCTGGGCTTCTATTTCGACCGCGATGATGCGGCTCTGGAAGGCGTGAGCCACTTCTTCCGCGAATTGACCGAGGAGAAGCGCGAGGGCTACGAGCGTCTCCTGAAGATGCAAAACCAGCGTGGCGGCCGCGCTCTCTTCCAGGACATCAAGAAGCCAGCTGAAGATGAGTGGGGTAAAACCCCAGATGCCATGAAAGCTGCCATGGCCCTGGAGAAAAAGCTGAACCAGGCCCTTTTGGATCTTCATGCCCTGGATTCTGCCCACATGGACCCCCATCTCTGTGACTTCCTGGAGACTCACTTCCTAGATGAGGAAGTGAAGCTCATCAAGAAGATGGGTGACCACCTGACGAACCTCCACAGGCTGGGAGGCCCAGAGGCTGGGCTGGGCGAGTATCTCTTCGAAAGGCTCACTCTCAAGCACGTCTAAGAGCCTTATGAGCCCAGCGACTTCTGAAGGGCCCCTTGCAAAGTAATAGGGCTTCTGCCTAAGCCTCTCCCTCCAGCCAATAGGCAGCTTTCTTAACTACCCTAACAAGCCTTGGACCAAATGGAAATAAGGCTTTCTGATGCAAAAAAAAAAAAAAAAAAAAAAAAAAAAAGAATAAGAGGTGATATTACACCCATGAAACAAGAATAAGATGCTATTTTGAGACAAGAAACAAAAAATAAGCTTTAAAATAAACACACACACATACACACACATACACACAACAGCAGAAATGAAAAATTCAATGGATGGCTTGAGAAAAATGTCTAGAATATCTCACAGAAAATAGATCTGAAAGACAAAACAATGAAAAACAGGAAAGAAAAGATGAGGAATGTAGGGGGAATAGTCCAAAAGGTTTAACATCTGAATAACAAGCATTTCAGAAAAGGAGGGAAGGAAATCATCAATGTGATAATTCAAGAAAAATTTCCCAAATTGAAAAACATAAATTGCCAGGTCAAAAGGGCTCACCGTTTGCCTAGTTTAACCAAGGCACATAATTGTGAAATTTCACAGCCCTAAGGATAAAGAGATGATTCCACAAGCTTGAACAAATAAAAGAATAAGTCATATACTAAGTCTTAAGAATCAGCATGGCTCCAGACTTCTCTTCACTGGAATTGTTCCAGCAACACTGGAAGGTAGAATACTAGAGTAATATCTTCAAAATTCTGAAGAAAAATTGTTTCCAATCTAGAATTCTATATACAGTGAAACAATCAAGAAATGAGTGGAATGAAGACAATTTCAGATATGCACATCCCATGTTTCCTTTTCTGGGAAGTAATTTAAGGATGTGCTCCACCAAACCAAGGGAGTAACCCAAAGAAAAAGACACAACATGTGGGAAATGGGAGATCCAACACAGGGGAGAGGGATGAGGAATCCCTATGAGGCTGAGATGATGAAACTTGGAGGATTGGAGCAGAGAGACTCAAGAGATAGATATGTTAAAGACTGTCATCACCAAAGTGACTACTGTCATATTGCCATCTTTATAGCCACTTTTTGTTAGAAGCACAGACTTTTGAGGTAAATTAGATAAAGGACAGAGATCCCACATACTGTTGGAAAGAGGACTGGCCTAATACTGTTGAGGCTTGGGTTCTAGTCCTGACTTACTCTTGAAGTAGGTATAAGATCTGGGTATGTCATTTTTCCTCCCTGGATCTCAGGATTATCCTCTCTACATGTCAAGGATAGGCTAAGTGAATTACATGTATTTTTAAGGCTATTGTGCCTTAGTGACATGTATTCTTCATGGCACTGTATACGGTTATATGGCTTTTGAAAATGCAGAGTCATGTAACTACCTCCACAGTCATGCTACAGAACAGTTGCATCACCCCCCAAAAATCTCTCATAGCTCCCCTTTGCAGTCAGCCTCTTGCCTCCCCCTTAACCCTGTCAACCACTGACCTTTTCTCCCTCCCTATAGTCTTACCTTTTCTAGAACGTTAGATAAATGCAGTCATACAGTATGAAGCCTTTCAGATCTGGTTTCTTTCATTTAACACAGTGCATTTAGTTTTATGCACTAACCAGCAATTACCACTGATCTTGTTTTCAGTTCTCTCCCAAAGCAGATGCTAAGACAAGAATTCAAGTGCAAGTAGTTTATGTGGGAGGTGATCTCAGGAAGCACCAGTTAGCGGAGTGAGACAGGGAAGGGAAAGAAGCCAATACAGGATATGTCAGCAAGCAAGCTACCACTGTGGGAAACAAGCTCACCCTGCTGGAGACTCTGGGATCCAGTGCAGAGCACACATCTCAGCTCTATCCAGCCCAAGGAGCGAAAAAGCTGGGATTTTTATCTACCAACTCCCTGTCCATCAGTGGTTGAGTGCTACTTCTTAGGGCCTTCACTCTCCAGCACTTCTGGCTTGCCCTGTGCACAGACCAAGCATGTTCCTGTGACTAGAAATAAAAGCCCCCAGGCAGAAAGCAACAGATGTTCACATTAAGCAGCTTTCCATGTGCAGGGGCGAATGCCAAGGGTGATGTGTAAGACACTGGCAGCGTCAGCTGCTTCCAACCCAACCCAAATATTTTTATTGTTGTATGTGAAGGGAAGCAAATATATACTATAAATTCTTAAATTCATTCTGCTGGATAAAGAGAGAAAAGTCCTGGATTTCTTCTCAATAGGCCAATTTTAAAGGCTACTTTTCATATATAGGATGGGCAAAGCACTTTTAAAAACATTTATCTTAGATTTTCACTGTATTTATGGTTTACAAGGGTGCTTTGCATGTAAAACTTAATGTTTAAATAGCACAAGCTCATACAGTCCATATTCAATCCCTCGATTATTAATACAAAACTCAATTCAAGCAAAGACAAAGGATATAACAGAAGCTAAATCCAACTTGTGAATAATGAGAATAATTGATTTGTTTAGGTTCTATTATTCAGAAAGTTATGTCTTTGTTTTTTTTTTTTTTTTTTTTTTTCCAGGCAGGGTCTTGCCCTGTAGCCCAAGTTGGAGAGCAGTGGCACAATTATGGCTCACTGCAGCCTTGACCTCCAGGGCTCAAGGATCCCCATGTAGCTGGGACCAGAGGCACACGCCACCATGCCTGGCTAATTTTGGTATTATTTTTTGTAGAGATGGGGTTTTGCCATGTTGCCCAGGCTGGTCTCAAACTCCTGGGCTCATGCAATCCACCTGCCTTGGCCTCCCAAAGTGCTGGGATTACATGCGTGAGCCACTGCGCCCAGCCAGAATGTTATGTTTTAAATTTATCTGTGTTATCAGTTGGGTCTCTTTGCTTCTTTAAAGAAAATTTAATATTTAAATTAACTTTTTTTTTTTGAGATGGAGTCTTGCTCTGTTGCCCAGGCTGGAGCGCAGTGGCGCGATCTTGGCTCACAGCAACCTTTGCCTCCTGGGTTCAAGCAATTCTCCTGCCTCAGCCTCCCGAGTAGCTGGGATTACAGGCATATGCCACCATGCCTGGCTAATTTTTGTATTTTCAGTAGAGACGGGGTTTCGCCATGTTGGCCAGGCTGGTCTCGAACTCCTGATCTCAGGTGACCCACCCACCTCGGCTTCCCAAAGTGTTGGGATTACAGGCATGAGCCACTGCGCCCTGCGATTAACTTATTTTTTATACATCTAAAATGTACAAGTGCAGTTTTGTTACATGGATATATTGCATGGTGGTAAAGCTTTTAGTTTACCACTGAGATGTATTCTTTGTATCCTGTCTCTGGCAGTCAGCTCACAGTGTATTCTTTGTATCCTGTCTCTGGCAGTCAGCTCACAGAAATCCTCGCTGGCTCCAGCCACACCCAGGATTGTGTGATTCCTTGGGGGCTGGCTGCCGCTCCTGTGTGCCTCTTGACGCCCAGTGTATTCCAAGGTCCTGTGCTGGGCCAGGGGAACTTAGTAGATTATCTAAGGCACTTCTTTATTTTTGGGTTATTCTCAGGTGTGCACAACTCATTCTTTTACTTCCACACTTTGCTGGCTCTTGGCAGCCCTGGCAAGGCTGTCTCAACCTGCCTCATGTGCACACAGCTATCTCTATTTGGGAGTCTAACTGCCACCCTAAGCTCTATCCAGGGTTCTCACTGTACTTACATCCCCCAAACCTGAATGGGTTTCTTCCTTCTTTCCTTCCTTCCTTCCTTCCTTCCTTCCTTCCTTCCTTCCTCTCTTTCTCTCTCTCCTTCCTTCCTTCTCCCTCTCTCTTTCTCTCATCTCTCTCCTTCTCTCTTTCCCCCTCCCTCCCTCCCTCCCTCCCTTCCTTCCTTCTCCCTCTCTCATCTCTCTGTCTTTCTCTCTTCTTCTGTCTTTCCCTTCCTCCCCTCCCCTCCCTCTCTCCCTCCCTCCCTCCTTCCTCCTCCCTTCCTTCCTCCTCCCTTCCTCCCTCCCTCCCTCCCTTCCTTCTTTTCAAGACAGAGTTGCCCAGGCTGGAGCGCAGTAGCACAATCTTGACTCACTGCAACCTCTGCCTCCCAGGTTCAAGCAATTCTCCTGCTTCAGCCTCCTGAGTAGCTGGGATTACAGGTGTCCACTACCATGCCTGGCTACTTTTTGTATTTTTTTGTAGAGATGGGGATTTCACCATGTTAGTCAGGCTGGTCTCAAACTCCTGACCTCAAGTTATCTGCCCACCTCAGCCTCCCAAAGTGCTGCTGGGATTACAGGCATGAGCCACCACACCCGGCCCAAGCTCTTTTCCTTAGACATCCACCATCATGTGACTCTCCTTACTACTGAGTTTGGGGATTTATTCTGTATATGTGGGTGAATGCTTGCTCTCAAATGCATTCTTTCAAATCCGTTATATTGTCTACACCTATATTCCTCTAGGTTTCTTTCTAATGAACTTTCTTTAAAATTTACTTTTAATTTTGAGACAATGGTAGATTCACATGAAGTTATAAGAAATAATACAGAACAATTCTGTATAGCCTTCACCCAGTTTCCCCCAATGGTAACATCTTGCATAACTATACCATAGTATCATAGCCAGGAGATTGACACTGATAACGTCAATCTTATTCCATTTTCCCTAGTTTTATAGGACTTGTGTGTATGCATGTATTTAATTCTATGCAATTATCATATGTATAGATTCGTGTAATCACCACCATAGTTGAGATAAAAAATAGTTCAATCACCACAAGGATCTTTTGTGATGTCCTTTAATTTATTTATATTTATTTATTTATTTATTTTTCTGAGACGGAGTCTCGCTCTGTCGCCCAGGCTGGGGTGCGGTGGCATGGTCTTGGCTCACTGCAACCTCTGCCTCCCAGGTTCAAGCGATTCTCCTGCCTTGGCCCCCCAAGTAGCTGGGACTACAGCCACGTGCCACCACACCCCGCTGATTTTTTGTATTTTTAGTAGAGACGGGGTTTCGCCATGTTGGCCAGGCTGGTCTCAAACCCCTGACCTCGTGATCTGCCCACCTCAGCCTCCCAAAGTGCTGGGATAACAGGCGCGAGCCACTGCGCCCAGCCTTGCCCTTTTATAATCACACCTGCATCCTCCCTCCCGACCCGCCTTTTCCCTAACTGGCAACTATGAATGAGGGTTCTCCATCTGTATAATTTTGTCCTTTCAAAATATTATATAAATGAAATCATGCTGTATGCAACCTTTGAGAACTGGCTTTGTTTACTCAGCATACTACTTCCCTGGAGATTCATCCAAATTGTTGCACGAATCAGTAGTTTGTTCCTTTTTATTGCTGAGTAGTATTACAGGGTATGGATGTTCCACAGTTTGTTTAACCATTCACCTTTTGAAGAGTATCTGGATCATGTCCAGTTTTAAGTGTTACAAAGAGTCAACACAATAAGATAGTGATGAACATTTGTATATGGGTTTTTGTGTGAATATAATTTCTCTGGGATAAATGTCCACGAGTGCAATTGCTAAGTCACATGGAAGTTGCATGTTTAGTTTTGTAAGAAACTACCAAATTGTTTTCCAGAGTGGCTGTGCCATTTTACATTGCCACCAGCAATGTATGAGTGATCTGGTTTCTCTGCATTCTCACCAGCATTTGTTATTGTCATAACTTTTTATTTTAGCTATTCTGATAGGTGTGTAGTAATAACTGATTGTAGTTTTTACTTTGCATTTCTCACGTAATTACTGATGGTGAACTTTTTTTTTCTTATCTCTATTTGCCATCTGTATATTCTATTTAGTGAAATGGCTGGTCATATCTTTTGCCTATTTTCTAAGTGGATTATTTGTGGGATTTTTTTTCCCCTTGAGTTTTGAGAGCTCTGTATGTATTCTAGATAATAGTTCTTTGTTAAACATGTGGTTTGCAAATATTTTCTTTCAGTCTGTGGCTTGTCTTTTCATCAGCTTAAAGGGTCTTTCACAGAGTAAAAGTTTTGATGAAGTTTAAATTATCCAATTTTCCTTTTGTGGATTGCACTTTTGCTGTTAATCCTAAGAACTCTTTGCTTAGCCCTAGATCCTGAAGATTTTCCCCTAAGTTGTTTCCTAAAATGTTTGCATTTATATTTAAGTTCATGTTTCATTTTGAGTTAATTTTTGTATAAGTTGTCACGTTTTGGTTGGAGTTCACTGTTTTGTTTTGCCCTTGGATGTCCAATTGTTACAGTACAATTTGTTGAAAAGGCTATCCTTCCTTCACTGGATTGCTTTTGCACCTTTGTCAAAAATCCGTTGGCACTGGGCAGGGGGCTCACACCTGTAATTCTAGCACTTTGGGAGGTCAAGACATGAAGATCTCTTCAGCTCAGGGGTTTCAGACCAGCCTGTGTAACACAGTGAGACCTCACCTCTATAAAAAATAAACAAAATTAGCCAGGTGTGGTGGTGTGTGCCTGTAGTCCCAGCTACTCAGGAGGCTGAGGTGGGAAGATCGCTTAAGCCAAGCAGGTCAAGGATACGGTGAGCCATGGTCATGCCACTGCACTCCAGACTGGGCAACAGAGTTAGACCCTGTCTCAAAAAAAAAAAATTGTAAAAAAATCAGTTGGCTTATTTGTGTGGATCTATTTCTGGATTCTCTATTCCGTTCCATTGATCTGTGTGTCTATCCCTTTGCCAATATTGCACAGTCTTGATTACTGTAGCTATATAATAACTCTTGAAATTCCTCTTACTTTATTCTTATTTTACGTAATTGCTATATCTATTCTAGGGTCCATGCCTTTTAATATAAATTTTAGAATAAATTAGCCTGTGTCTATAAAAACCCTTTCTGGGGGTTTTGATAGGAATTGTATTAAACTTGGAGATAAATCTTGGGAAAACTTATATCTTTATTATGTTGACTCTTCCAAAATGTAAACAAGGTATGTTTAGCCATTTATTTAGATCTTTAATTTCTTTTACCAGCATTTGCGATTTTTATCATACAGATCCTATATATGTTTTGTTAGATTTGTTCCTAGGTTTTTCTTTTTTTTTTTTTGAGTGATTGAAAACGTTATTGGGTTTTAAATTTCAGTTTCTGTATGTTCAATGCCAGCATATAAAACTGTATGCTGATGTTGTGCGTTGTGAATAAACTCATTTATTAGTTCTAAGAGGTTTTTTTGGTGGGAATTTTCTTGAAATTTTCAATGTAGATCCTCATATCTTCTGCAAATAATGACAGTTTCATTTCTTCCTTTATAACCTGTATGCATTTTTTCATGTCTTACTGCACTGGCTAGAATTTCCACTAATATGTTGAGTAAGAGTGGTTAGAGCAGACATCCTTGCTTTGTTCCTGATTTTAGGTGGAACGCATTCAGTCTTTCACCAATATGTATGATGTTAGTTATAGGTTTTGTAGATGCTTTTTTAATCACATTGAGATAGTTCCCCTGTATTCCTAACTTGCTGAGTTTTTAAAAATCGTAAATGAGCTCCCTCTCCCTCCCCCGCCCCCCTCTGATGCCGAGCCAAAGCTGGACGGTACTGCTGCCATCTCGGCTCACTGCAACCTCCCTGCCTGATTCTCCTGCCTCAGCCTGCCGAGTGCCTGCGATTGCAGGCGCGCGCCGCCACGCCTGACTGGTTTTCGGTTTTTTTTTGGTGGAGACGGGGTTTCGCTGTGTTGGCCGGGCTGCTCTCCAGCTCCTAACCGCGAGTGATCCGCCAGCCTCGGCCTCCCGAGGTGCCGGGATTGCAGATGAAGTCTCGTTCACTCAGTGCTCAGTGGTGTCCAGGCTGGAGTGCAGCGGCGTGATCTCGGCTCGCTACAACCACCTCCCAGCCGCCTGCCTTGGCCTCCCAAAGAGCCGAGATTGCAGCCTCTGCCCGGCCGCCACCCCGTCTGGGAAGTGAGGAGCGTCTCTGCTTGGCCACCCATCGTCTGGGATATGAGGAGCCCCTCTGCCTGGCTGCCCAGTCTGGAAAGTGAGGAGCGTCTCTGCCCGGCCGCCATCCCATCTAGGAAGCGAGGAGCGTCTCTGCCCGGCCGCCATCCCATCTAGGAAGCGAGGAGCGCCTCTTCCCGGCTGCCATCCCATCTAGGAACTGAGGAGCGTCTCTGCCCGGCCGCCCATCGTCTGAGATGTGGGGAGCACCTCTGCCCCACCGCCCTGTCTGGGATGTGAGGAGCGCCTCTGCTGGGCCGCAACCCTGTCTGGGAGGTGAGGAGCGTCTCTGCCCCGCCGCTCCGTCTGAGAAGTGAGGAAACCCTCTGCCTGGCAACCGCCCCGTCTGAGAAGTGAGGAGCCCCTCCGTCCGGCAACCACCCCGTCTGGGAAGTGAGGAGCGTCTCCGCCCGGCAGCCACCCCGTCCGGGAGGGAGGTGGGGGGGGGGGTCGGCCAGCCGCCCCGTCCGGGAGGGAGGTGGGGGGGTCAGCCCCCCGCCCGGCCGGCCGCCCCGTCCGGGAGGTGAGGGGCGCCTCTGCCCGGCCGCCCCTACTGGGAAGTGAGGACCCCTCTGCCCGGCCAGCCGCCCCGTCCGGGAGGGAGGTGGGGGGGTCAGCCCCCCGCCCGGCCGGCTGCCCCGTCCGGGAGGTGAGGGGCGCCTCTGCCCGGCCGCCCCTACTGGGAAGTGAGGAGCCCCTCTGCCCGGCCAGCTGCCCCGCCCGGGAGGGAGGTGGGGGGGTCAGCCCCCCGCCTGGCCAGCCGCCCCATCCGGGAGGGAGGTGGGGGGGTCAGCCCCCCGCCCGGCCAGCCGCCCCGTCCGGGAGGGGGGAGGGGGGGTCAGCCCCCTGCCCGGCCAGCCGCCCCGTCCGGGAGGGAGGTGGGGGGGGGGTCAGCCCCCTTTCCGGCCGCCGCCTGTCCGGGAGGTGAGGGGCGCCTCTGCCTGGCCGCCCCTACTGGGAAGTGAGGACCCCTCTGCCCGGCCAGCCGCCCCGTCCGGGAGGGAGGTGGGGGGGACAGCCCCCCGCCCGGCCAGCCGCCCTATCCAGGAGGTGAGGGGCGCCTCTGCCCGGCCGCCCCTACTGGGAAGTGAGGAGCCCCTCTGCCTGGCCAGCCGCCCCGTCCGGGAGGGTAGTGGGGGGGTCAGCCCCCCGCCCGGCCAGCCGCCCCATCCGGGAGGTGAGGGGCGCTTCTGCCCGGCCGCCCCTACTGGGAAGTGAGGAGCCCCTCTGCCCGGCCACGACCCCGTCTGGGAGGTGTGCCCAGCGGCTCATTGGGGATGGGCCATGATGACAATGGCGGTTTTGTGGAATAGAAAGGCGGGAAGGGTGGGGAAAAAATTGAGAAATCGGATGGTTGCCGGGTCTGTGTGGATGGAAGTAGACATGGGAGACTTTTCATTTTGTTCTGTACTAAGAGAAATTCTTCTGCCTTGGGATCCTGTTGATCTGTGACCTTATCCCCAACCCTGTGCTCTCTGAAGCATGTGCTGTGTCCACTCAGGGTTAAATGGATTGGGGGCGGTGCAGGATGTGCTTTGTTAAACAGATGCTTTGTTAAACAGATGCAGCGTGCTGGTTGAGAGTCATCACCACTCCCTAATCTTAAGTACCCAGGGACACAGACACTGCGGAGGGCCGCGGGGTCCTCTGCCTAGGAAAACCAGAGACCTTTGTTCACTTGTTTATCTGCTGACCTTCCCTCCACTATTGTCCTATGACCCTGCCAAATCCCCCTCTGCGAGAAACACCCAAGAATGATCAATAAAAAAAAAAAAAAAAAAAAAAAAAAGAAAAAGGGGCCCAGGGGACAGGCATTCAGCATATGGAGGATCCACGCCAGCCCCGGCTGCTGCGTTCCCTTAGTATTTATTGCTCATTATCGGGCGTGACAGGATAATAGGATAATGGTGGGGAGGTCAGAAGGTAAACACGTGAACAAATGTCTCTGCACCATAAACAAGGTAAAGAAAAAAGTGCTGTGCTTTTGATGTGCATATACATAAACATCTCATTGCCTTAAGGAACAGTATTGCTGCCAGCATGTCCCACCTCCAGCCCTAAGGCGGTTTTCTCCTATCTCAGTAGATGGAATATACAATCAGCTTTACACCCAGACATTCCATTGCCCAGGGATGAGCAGGAGACAGAAGCCTTCCTCTTATCTCAACTGCAAAAAGGCGTTCCTTCCTCTTTTACTAATCCTCCTCAGCACAGACCTTTTACGGGTGTCGGGTGTCGGGCTGGGGGACGGTCAGGTCTTTCCCTTCCCACAAGGCCATATTTCAGACTCTCACATGGGGAGAAACCTTGGACGGTGCCTGGCTTTCCTGGGCAGAGGTCCCTGCGGCCTTCTGCAGTGTTTTGTGTCTCTGGGTACTTGAGATTGGGGAGTGGTTTGAGATTGGGGAGTGGTGATGACTCTTAACAAGCATGCTGCCTTCAAGCATTTGTTTAACAAAGCACACCCTGCACAGCCCTTGATCCATTTGGCCCTGAGTTGACACAGCGCATGTTTCGGGGAGCACAGGGTTGGGGGAAGGGTTACAGATTGGCAGCATCTCAGGGCAGAAGAATTTTTCTTAGTAGGGAACAAAATGGAGTCTCCTATGTCTACTTCTTTCTACACAGACACAGTAACAATCTGATCTCTCTTTCTTTTCCCCACAATGTGGTTTTGGGCGACTGTAGTCCCGGCTACTTGGGAGACTGAGGCAGGAGAATTGCTTGAACCTGGGAGGCAGAGGTTGCTGTGAGCCGAGATTGTGCCACTGCACTACAGCCTGGGCGAAAAAAGCAAAACTCCGTCTCAAAAAAAAAAAACAAAACACTTGTGATTTGGGGGTTTTGTGGAAATTTAATTACGATGAAAAATCTGTATCTTTTTTGTAATGTTGGCATACTTGGGTAATTTTGTGGCAAATATATTTCCCAGTGGACCTTTTGTTGGTGGCACTAACTGCAAGGTTGCTGGGAAAGTGGAGTCTGTTTGGTGGATGAGCTCTGACTGCCGTTTTGGAACCTCACCTCTACTCATGCTGTCTCAAGTCCTTGTCTCATTCTCCAGCTCTCAGTTCAAATAAAGTTATTTCTCCTGGGAAAAAAAGTTCCGTGAAACGCACACTGGATGACAGTGCTGAAGTTGGGTGCCCTGGGAAGTCCTCAGGACACCCCTGCATGAAGGCTGCCCCAGGAGAGCAGCGCAAGGTTGTGGAGGTCTCAAAGCTCTGAAGAACCTGCCTACCGAAGACAGGAGTGCCCACAAAACAGTTGGCCCATGGGCTCCCCAAGACCTACGTGTACCTCGGAGGCATTTGGCAGAAGATTCTTTGTGAACAAAAATCTCTGCCCACTAGGAGGCAGGAGTGTGTGTGTGTGTGTGTGTGTGTGTGTGTGTTGAAACCAGAACTCCACCTTATGTGTTCATTGTGGAATTTGAAAATGGAAGCCTAAAGTTGAAAATTAAAATCACCCGTGATAGCTGTAAAAAAAAAAAAAAAAAAAAAAAAAATCGTAAATGAGTTCTTACTTTGGAAGCATATATACTAAAGTTGGAATGAAACAGAGAAGATTAGTTACTGATTTCATTTTTCAATAAGTTTAGATTTATTATGTTGGTTTCCCAATTTAAAAAATTGACTTCTTAAAAAATCATAAATGAGTGTTGGATTTTGTGAAATGCTTTATTCTGTATCAATTGATATGATTATAGGATTATTATTTTTTAGCCTATTGATATAGCACTGTAATAAAAGTTATGTGAATATCCTCTCTCTCTGTCTCTCTCAAAATATCTTACTTTGGCTGGGAGCAGTGGCTCACACCTGTAATCCCAGCATTTTGGAAGGCCGAGGCAGGTGGACTGCTTTGAGCTCAGGAGTTCAAGACCAGCCTGGGCAACTTGCTGGTTGCCCAGCAAACTTGTTTCTACAAAAAATACAAAAAAAAAAAAAATTAGCTGGGCAATCATGCCTGTAGTCCCAGCTACTTGGGAAGCTGAGGCTGGAGGCCAGTTCCTGAGAAGTCTTTTCTTTCCTCCATCTCTTCTCTTGGTCTCTGTGTTGTGCTAAGTCAAGGATAGCTTCCTCCTTTGACAGATTATCTTTGACTTTGCCCATCAGGTGAGAGGGCACTATCAGCCACAGGACCACTCTCTCGTTTACTCATCGGGGAGATGTTCTGCTCCCTGTGGTGTGGGTGTGGACGCTTTACTCTGGAATCCCTTCCAGTGGACGTTAAGCATCCCCCTCAGGGCTTGGAGAGGACCAATGAACAAGGGAAGCAGGGCAGGCAAAGAGTCTGAGGCAGGCGGCTGATGAACCAGGTCTTCCCCTGAGTGATGCTGGGAAAAGAAGCACGTTGACTAAGCACCTGTGATGTGCCATACACTTTCATATGTGTTAATTAATCCCGTAGTGACCCTGTGAGGTAGGTATAATGATCATCCCCATTTACAAATGAGGAAACTGCAGTGTAAAAGAATTTAAAACTAGGTTTAAAAATGAGGGAAATAGAAAAGCACCATTAGGCAAACCTATAGTAATAATGGTTGCAGTAAGATTCACTGATAGTTGCTAAAAGTATTTTTATTAATTATAAAGGAAAAAATGGCTGGGTGTAGTGGCTTATGCCTGTAATTCTAGCACATGGGGAGGCTGAGATGGGAGGATTGCTTGAGATCAGGAGTTTGAGACCAGCCTGGTCAATAGAGTGAGACTTCATCTCTATTGTTATAAAGAATAAAACAAAATTTAAAATAAATAAATTTTAAAAACGTTTTAAGAAGGAAAAAATATAAAAGTGGAGAAATCCGGTAAATACCACCCTAATCAAGTGATCAAGGTTAGTATTACTAGTAATAATTGATACTGACATTAGGTACTCCCTGATGTGATGCCTTGAGTTGAGCACAGTATCATCTCTTACATCAATCTCATCATGATAAAACACTAGACAAACCCAGACTGAGATGGGGTTCCACAGACTCCTACTCAGGTGTCAGAATTAGAACCCAGAGCCCATCATCTTTCCACTCTGGGCAGGAAAGGTATGGAGGCCAAGGGTAGGGGGATGCCTCCTTTCTGGAGGGAGGCACTGCTGACTGAACGTGTACCCACCTCAGTACGTGGGACTCATGACTACAGTGTGCTCTGTAACTAGAAACTACATCTCTTTGCCTGAGGGCATTCTCCAAAGCACAAAGGTGGTTCTGTCTGTGCTGGCCTTCCCACTCCTTTTTTTTTTTTTTTTTTTGAGATGGAGTCTTGCTCTGTCGCCCAGGCTGGAGTGCAGTGGCATGATCTCGGCTCACTGCAACCTCCGCCTCCCGGGTTCAAGTGATTCCCCTGCCTCATCCTCCCGAGTAGCTGGGGACTACAGGCATGTGCCACAATGCCCGACTAATTTTTGTATTTTTTGGCGGAGACTGGGTTTCACCATGTTGCCCAGGTTGGTCTTGAACTGACCTCAAGTGATCCGCCCGCCTTGGCTGGTATTACAGGCTCTTGAGATTCTTAAACACATCACATCATAAAGTCCCTTGTGCCATGTGAGGTAATATACTCACAGCTTCTGGAGATTAGGATGTGGGCATCTTGAAGGGTATCATTATTCTGTCCACCACATGCCCATGGTCCAGGGTTCAGAATAAAAGGGGCTCTGAGTTGGCAACATCTGCCCAGAGGAAGCCAGTGCTGTGAGAAGGGGAAGGTGGTACAAGGGGCTATAAACTAAAATGCAGAAATACAGAGGAAGACATATTTCAGTGGTTACATAGCATGTGGTGTGTGTATGCGTGACTGTGTGTGTTTGTGTGCATGTGCGTGTGTGTCTGGGGGAAGGAGGTAGAGGAAGTGAGATGATGGTGACAGTGACAGCAGCTTGGAGAAGACAGGGGGGTGGGTCTACTTCTGAGGAAGTCCTTGGCTGAGGTAGGGCCGCAGAGAGGCAGGGTGAGGGTGGAGCCTGTGGTTTCAGAGAGGAGTTTTAATGGCTGCCAAGAATGTGCACATGAAGCCGAAAGGGAGTGCGGCCTGGAGCTGCAGTCAGCCCAGAGGGCGGGTGGAGCCTGTCCCAGGGCACTAGGATCGCAGAGAACGACAGGAGGGAGCAGGGCTCTGTGAGCAGGGAGAGGAAAAAGAGAGAAACTAGGTTTGTGATGGAAAATGGGCTATGGTTTCATAATTGGAAGTGCCTGTGGGCAATGAGTATAAATGGAGGGTTTGGTAACACTTGGGGAAAAATTATTAATTTGGAACTTCTATAAAGCCTTTTGTCTCCTATTAAAAATCCTGTGGGTACCAAGTGAATTTCATCATTTAATTCTCTCAATAAACAATGAACTGCTACTTTGCATGGGACAACATTCTCTGGAGATGCATACAGTGAACAAACAAGGTGAATGAATGGACTCAGGGAATTAGGTGTCACAGGCATAGAAAGGCAAGGAGATGAAGGAGTAAGTCAGCAAGAGGATGATGGAGGCAGAATCAGCTTTCCCCAGCAGGGGATGACACGGGGTTTTCGATATCACCTGCCCGGGGAGGCTTGCCCATTTCCACTCTCCAGCCCACCTGCCCAGGGGATAGGCTTTGAAATGTATATTCCCTACTGTCCGCCTCCTTGGAGCCATTCCTTCATTTCTTCCTTCCTCCTCTTCCTCTCCCCTTGTCTTCCTTTGCCTTGGAGCTTGGGAGGCTCCAGGCAAGAAGAGGGGGACTGCGGCATCTTTCTCTTGCTTCCCTCTCTTCTTTCTACCCTTTGGATCCCATTCAAAACAGATAAATAGAGGTCCACTGTGGGCCTGGAATCATGCAGGGGTTACAAGACGGGGGACTCCCATGACCAAGCGTGATTCTCCAGCAAGGGGATTTCTGGGAGCCCTTAGCAGCTGACACATGCAGCAGCTGGGCCAGGGGTGGACCAGCCTGTTAAGGGGATCTGTGTGGGGCACCAGTATCCTCTACTATAGCAAGGATGTGGAGTAGCAGATAATCTCACACCCTGCTATAGATTGGAATAAAACTTTAGAAAGCAATTTGCTAATATTGTATAGAGAGGAAGACACACATGGCCTGTGACCCAGCAATTCCACTTCCAGTCACATACCCAAGAGAAACTTTGCATGTGCATGAGGAGACAAGGAATGTTCATTGCAGCATAATTTGAAAAAACAAAAGCTGGAAATAAATGAAATGTGCATCTTATAGGAAGTTGGATCTATTCACGTAATGGAATACAGCAGGTAAAATAAACAAGATTTATGAGTATCATCAGAGATAACTCTAAAAGCATGATGTTGAGTGAAAAAAGCATGCTACCAAATGATATATATAATGTTGCCATTTATTTATGTATTATTTATTTATTTATTTTTGAGACTGAGTCTTGCTCTGTCGCCCAGGCTGGAGTGCAGTGGCATGATCTCGGCTCACTGCAATCTCCGCCTCCCAGGTTCAAGTGATTCTCCTGCCTCAGCCTCCTAAGTAGCTGGGACTACAGGCGTGCACCACCATGCCCGGCTAATTTTTGTATTTTTAGTAGAGACAGGGTTTCACTATGTTGGCCAGGCTGGTCTTAAACTCCCGACCTCAAGTGATCAACCTGCCTTGGCCCCCTAAGCTGCTGGATTACAAGCTTGAGCCACCGTGCCGGGCCTAATGTTGCCATTTATATAAAGTTTAAAGACACGCAAAACAATACGTTTACATATATATGTGTATATATGTATATATGCATTTATGTATGTATATATCTGTGTATATATAGTAAACATATATGTATGTAACATAGTAAACATATATACACACATACACAAACACACACATATATAGTAAAAGTGTAACAGCATGCTTGGGAATGCTAATACTCAATATAGAGTAGTGGGACTTGCAGCCAGATTGCTTGGATTTGCATCCTAGTTCCTTTTCTTACTAGCTGTATAATCTTGGAGAAGTTATTTAACCTCTGCAGGCCTCAGCTTGCTTATGTGTTAAATGGGAAATGCCAATTGTATCAGCCAGCAATTGCTGCCCTAATGCTGTGTAACAAACAACCCCTAAGCTCAGTGGCTTTCAACCACAAGCAGTTATTTTCTATCCACAAGCCTGTGAGTTGGCTGTGGCTCTGCTGGACTGGGCTCCAGGAAGTGGCTTAGGTTCATGTCTGCTCCACGTGTCTCCACCAGCAACTATCCAGGGCTTGTTCTTTTCAGGGCAGAGGTCACATGCATGGGTGGCTGCTGAAAGCACATGATGCCTTCTTGAGTCTTTGGCCCAGAACTGGCATATTGCTTCCACCCACATTCCAGTGGGGTAGGGAAAGTATACACCACCCACAGTGATCCAGAGCAAGGGCAGCAGGAGAAGGAGGTACTGGGAGCAAGTAATGGTGCAATAGTGCCTACCTGCTTTGTTTGAAGCATTAAATGAGTTAATGTGTGTCAGGTGCCTGGCACATAGTAGGTGCTATATTCTTACTAATCAGGAGAATGATGAACTCTGGGAGAAAGAGGAAATTTAACTTATCCATTAAATTTCTTTTTTAAAAACAAAGATCATAAAAAGAAAAAGAGGGAAAAATATTTGCTTTCAGAAGAGAAAGCGAGAGAGAGAGAGAGGACACGAATGCTGCAGACTGAACCACAGGGAGCATTGGCATTCAGGAAAAAGAGGAAAATGGAAGACTTAATTGTAGACTCCAGGAGGCAGGGACTGTGTGTGGCCTCACTCATTTCTCTGTCCCCAGCACCATGTCTGACACATGGTAAATGCTCCTAAGGAGCACAGGGAAAGAAGAAACAATGATAGAGGCAGAGGTTGGAGAGAATCTGAGAAAAATGAGAAGCTCTCACCCTAAAAGCTAGAGGAGATCGTTAAAAGGGGCTGGATAGCTGCCTTGTGGACTGGTCAGCAGTGGCCATCATCCCACTCTGGACCCAGCCTCACTGTTGGGTCTGGTGTTCCAGGACACAGGGGACAGACTTGCTATTTCATTTGGTGAGTTTTGTCTCAGGCCAAGCTTCTGAGTAGTAGGAGGTGAAAGGCCCAGTCCCCCGCTATTGATCTCTTAATTTCAGCATCCTCTTCTCTCCCTTTTCCCTTTGGCTGTCCCTGATTCTCCTTTTCAAATCTCCTTCCAGCCTCCCACTCCTCGGGTCCCCACTGCCTGGAGGAATATGCAGAGGCCAAGACAGAAAGGAGGCTGGGCACGGAGGCTCACACCTGTAATCCCAGCACTTTGGGAGGCCAAGGCAGGCAGATCACTTGAGCCCAGGAGTTCAAGACCAGCCTTAGCAACATGGCAAAACCCTGTCTCTACTAAAAATATAGAAACTAACCGCTGTGATGGCACGCACCTGTACCTGGGAGGCTGGCTTGAGCCCTGGAGGTGAGGCTGCAGTAAGCTGTGATCGCACCACTGCACTCCAGTCTGGGAGGTGGACTGACGAGTGTTGGGGGCTCTCAGAGACCAGGAGGGGGGCCAGGATAGAGCCCTTCTTCTTTGTTTTCCTACTTTGGCCTGAAAAGCTCCACTGAGCCTTCATGAAGGGCAGGCAGCCAAAGGCTGGGGAGAAGGTGGACTCATTTCCTTGTAAATTACGTGGTTATGAGGGCGGGAATTTCACATGTGGCTTTTTGCATAATCAGGTTATCAGGTAGTTGGCCCATTCCTGGGCTCATAAAGTCTCTGGTTGCTCTGACTCATAGCATGGAGTGGGAGGCGAGCCAGCAGGGATGGGGCTGGGAGGAGGTGCCCGCCAGCTGCCTGCTTGGGTGGTGTCAGGTGGGGATCCTTTTCAGAGCCCAAGTGTCATAAACATCTGGGCTTGAGAATCGGTCTACTTGAGTTCAAGTCTTGGCCTCACCGCTTGCCAGCTGTGTGACCTTGGGCAAGTTCCTAACCCTCCCTAGTCCTTTATTTCTGCATTAGGGCAAGGGTGGTGGTTTAGAGAAGGATTTGCCTGGGAAAGAGCAGGTGGCTGCTTAAGCAGATCCCCAGGAGGGCAGTATGTGGGTGTGGCCACCAACCTCCTGAATCCAATCCACAGATTTCCCTGAAAAAATGTAGTGGTTTGCACTCTGGCAAACCGTGGGGCAATATCTAATAAACTCACTGCATTAATTTTCTAGGGCTGCCATGACAAAGTACCATACACTGGGTGGACAGAAACAACAGATATTTATCCTCCCGCAGTTCAGGAAGCTAGAAGTCTGAGATCAAGGTGTTGGCAGAACCGGGCTCTAAGAGAGAATCTATTCCATGCTCTTTTTTTTTTTTTTTTTTTTTCCTGAGACAGAGTCTTGCTCTGTTGCCCAGGTTGGAGTGCAATGGCACAATCTCAGCTCACTGCAACCTCCACCTCCTGGGTTCAAGCGATTCTCTTGCTTCATGCTCCCAAGTAGCTGGGATTACAGGCGTCTGTCACCACACCCAGCTAATTTTTTTTTGTATTTTTAGTAGAGATGGGGTTTCATCGTGTTGGCCAGGCTGGTCTCAAACTCCTGAACTCAGGTGATCTGTCTGCCTCAGCCTCCCAAAGTGCTGGGATTACAGGCATGACCCACTGCACCTGGCCTATTCTGTGCTTTTCTCTGAGTTTCTGGAGTGGCGTTCCTTGGCTTGCGGCAGCATCACTCCAAGCTCTGCCTTTGTTGTCATGTGGCATGCTCCTTGCGTGTCTCTGTCTCACGTGGCTCTCTCTTCTGTGTGTGTCTGGGTCCAATTTCCTTCTTATAAGGACACCAATCATATTGGATTACAGTCCACCCTAATGACCTTCTCTTCATTTGATTATATCTGTCAAGACCCTGTTTCCAAGGAAAGTCATGTTTGTAGGTATCAGGGATTAAGTCTTCAACATATCTTTTTGGGGGACATGATTCAACCCATATCACCCACTTTACCTACGAACAGTAGGACTGAAAGGCCCAGTCCCCTCCTGTCCACCTCACAATTCCATCAACTCCTCTCCTAGGAATATAACTTAAAGAAATTAGTGGTTAGTCTACTGAAAGCTGAAACGCATGTACTAGAATGTTTCAAGCATCTTTATTTTTAATAGTCCCAAACTGGACACAACTCTAAGGTCCCATCCACAGGAGAATTGACAAACAGATTAGAGTACATTCACACAATGGAACACTACTCGGCAACAGAAAGGATAAATTGCTGATACAAGCAATAATATGAATGAAAGACTACCTTTGTTTGGCCCTGGCTATTTGTAGTCCTACTATGTGACACTATTTTATGAAATTCAAGAAGAGACAAAACTAGTCTGATAGATGTCAGACATAAATAAAAATTTATTGAGCTGTACACTTAAGCTATGTAAATTATATTTCAATTTAAGGAGTTTAAAAAAATTAAAAAAATTTAGGCCTTGGCATGCCCAGAAGTCAATGACTTACTCCCAGGGCTTGACTCCCATTTGCCAAAGTTCTAGGAGCTTGATGTATAAACTGGAAAGTTGACAAGATAAGTCCTAATGAGAACTCTAATGAGCCAGGGGCCCAGTGCCTGTGTCACCTGGATAGTGGCAGAGACAAACTGTCCAATGAGATACTCAGGACACCCTCTTCTGAGGTGCTGCTGGTTGATTATGCCCCTTCCTTGGACTGGATGCCACATAATGAGCTGGGTTCTGACTTCACCAGTGAAGTGTCCTGTGTCCTTGTGGAAATGACTCAGCCCCCTTCCTCATCTCTAAAATGCGTATACCTACCCTCCCTCCCAGGGTGGTTGTGAGAAGCATTTGACAAAACACCATATTTAAAGTCCCATTCATAGGAGGTAGGTACTCAGGTAATGTGGTTTCCCCTTCCTTTCACAGAGCTGGGATGCAGCTACTGGCTCAGACATTTTTCTTTTGATCCTTTTGGGTGCAGAGCCTTTTGCTAGTAGCCAAAAGAGGTGACGAGACACTCCTGAGAACTTCCTTGTTTCTCAGGTCACATAGATAATAGATAATAACTTATATCGGCAAAGCTATTTAAAAAACACTAGGAAGCTCACAGCCTAAGAATATATCCTCCACCAGCCAACTACCTGGAGTCCCCTCTAAGTGTGTCTTCCTGTGGGGTCACTATTGCCCCCTGTCTAATGTGCTGACTTTGTGAGTGCGAGGGTGGGGCATAATGGTGCATTTGTTAGTCCTGGTGGTGGATGGAAGGGTTGGGAGCCCTCATTGCAGGAAGAAAGGACAGAATATTTTGGAGCTGAGCTCATTGAGGGGGAGATATTTGAGGGTGCTCACATTCCCCCTGTTCCCCTGAGATGGCCCTGAGTCCTCAGCACCCTGGTGAGATTACCGGGAGTAGGCAGGAGTGGTGAGCTCTGGCAACTGCCGCCCTTTTGGGTCTTCCCTCCATCCCCGGGACCCACCCTTCTGTGTCCCTACCATCTTAGGCTAGGACAGGAAGGCTGCAGAGAGATAGGGCTGGTGGGGACTGGTGGGCAGTGCCTGGGTACAAGGTACGTTCCTGAAGGGGCTATTTGGAGAGCAAACTCCCCAGGTGGATGCCAGGCTACACTGGCAGAGTGGGGATCTATTTTGATTCCCAAGAATTCAACTTTAGAACAAGTAGTGAATGAGGGGATTACGAACTTCCTACAAGCATAGTTGGATGGTGCATAGGAACATGCCCTTGGGCCAATGTCATGAGCCCTGGGCTACCCACCTCTTGGTGTTCTTTCCCTCTGTATTAGATTTCCCCAGAGAAGCAGAACCAGTAGAATAAATACATAATGAGAGAGAGAGAGACTAATTTTAAGGAATTGCTTCATACAACTATGGAAGCCAGCAAGTCCAAAATCTGCAGAGTAGGCTGGCAAGCTGGAGACCCAGGGAAGAGCCGATGTTGCAGATCCAGTCTGAAAAACCCTCTGCAGGTAGAACTCTCTCTTGCTCAGGGTGGGGATGAGGGTAGGTCAGCCTTGCTCTATTCAGGCCTTCAGCTGATTGGATGAGGCCCACCCACATTATGGAGGGCAATCTGCCTTACTCAAACTCTACTGATTTAAATGTTAATCTCATCAAAACAGCCTCAGAGAAAAATCCAGAATAATGTTTGATCAAATATCTGGGCTCTGTGGCCCAGCCAAGTTGATACATAAAACTAACCTCCTTATTAAAACGACTTCGCCAAGCAGTACGAACAGTAGCTCCCTGAGGCCCTGCCTTGTGTTGGGGGCCTTGTGCTTTGCCTGATTCAGGTGGACCCTCCCAACACATCTGTTTGGTAAGTGTCATGCTTGTTTCACAGACGAGTTAACTGAATCTTACGCGATGTGACAGGTGATGTTGGTGCCCTATCTAGATCCCTTTTCCCAGCTAGTGTCCCCCTCCCCAGCTGGTGACGGTGCAGTGGCTAACAACTTACATCTGAGAACTTTCATGGAGGATTCCGCTGGCAATGGGATTGTCCTTGTCCAGGACCTAGTGACTCATGTTCCCTTCTCCCATCATCCAGGGATGGACAACGACTGACTGACACAAGGGTACAAAAGCCTGTCCTGCTTATCTCAGGGGGCAATTCTGTGGACAGCTTACACCCAGAGCTCCCGGTGGATTGGGCTGAGGCCAGGCTGGACTGAGGCCACGCCCCTGCTGAACATCTTCCTCTGCCACATCCTGCTTCCCTCCATCCCTTTCTCCTGAGATCATTTCCTCCATAAATCACAGGGATTCCACAAATCCTCATCCTGGGCTCTGAGTCTAAAGAATAGGACCTAAGACACCTGTGAGTGAGGAATGTAAACCCAGGTCTAGCTGCCTTCAAAGGTGTCCCACAGGATCTTCGCATTGTCCGTAGCTGACAGGGGTGAGGACCTCCCTGGGGAGGGGTTCCTGGTTGCAGAGAGGGAAGACTCCCCGCCTTTTGGAAGGTCTCTTGGGTTTGCCCCCTTCCTTCTTTGCTTGCCCACTTCTTTCTTGCCTCATTCCACAGAACAGCACCAGCCACAGGCTAGGAGCCTCTACCCAGGGAGGGCAAGGGGAGGTTGAGGGCTACACCTGTGGCTGGGAAAGGCTGAATCTATGAGTCCCATCCCCAAGGATTCTCAGAGCAGGGAGTCGCTGCTTTCTGGGGCAGGGGTGCAGATTCGCAGCAATGGGAATGTGCTCGAAGGCCTGAGCTGCTGCTTGGGAGAGAGCATGAGCCAAATCCTGGTGGGCAGGCTGCCTGGTCGGTGGGCTTCAAATCTAGGCTGCACTCTGAGGCCTCCATTTGCAGCCTCCGCCTGTGCGAGTGCTGTGTCACCACCCTGGGAAGGCCTCTGTTGGGTTTTTCCAGAACTTGGAGGTTTAGAAGTGCCCCAGTCATGGCTGCTCTAGTTAGAATTTCGCCTCCAGCTTTCCCAGGGGGCCTCCAGCCCTCTCTGAGACACAGCTGCTCAGGGACAGTGAATGAATGAGAGCAAGGGGCCCCCTGTGGGGACACGAGAGTTTGCAGCAGAGATGGTGGTGCCCAGGCCTGGCAGAGAAAGTGCTGGGGGCAGCTGCATGATGGGGCAAGGCTCCTCATTGGCCCCCAAAGAACCTTCCATCCCACCTGGCTAGAGAAGACAATGAAGGATGGTGGAGGGGGGTGGTTGCGCCAGTCAGCAGAAGGCTTCTTCTCTTAACAAAAAGGAGGAGTGTTGAGCTGTTCCGTTTGGTTACAGATCTTTACTACTGCCTTCTCTATGAAAAGATATAGTGTGGGGGCTTTGGTGTCACATAGATCTGATTCAAAAACCTCTGTTTTATCCTTATAAATTCTGTGATGCTGTGAAAGCCACTTAACATCTCAGAACCTCAGTTTTCTCATCCATAAAATGGGTGGCCATGCTCACTGCATAGGCTTGCTGTCTGGGAAGGGGCAAGTAGATGAAGAAAGTAGCTCAGCAAGAGACAGAGATAGCTTTGCAATCTCTGGAATGTGAATGAAAAATTGAGCCATCTTCACCATGAAGGAACTCATTTGCTTCTAGAGACATGGCGGTGGGGGCAGACAGAAGGCCACTGCTCACCCGTTCCAGTGTTAAAGGCAGACATTACTGATTATATCTGCATACCCCAAGCCTGGATACAGAAGCCTGGTAGCTTCTCTTAATTGATCAGAGGTGGCACTTGAAATGGAACTTATGTGTCATCTCTGCGCTCTGTCAAGAGGCCTTGACAGCCACCCTGGAGGAGTCCCTAGGTGGTGAGGGAAGATTTAAGGGAAAGTAAGTTTGCTTTTTAGGTCTTCTAGTTTGAGTGCCTGGGAATAGAGATGGTTTCTGATTGAGCAGCCCAAAGGCTCTATCATGTTCCAGTAGCTTAAGCTACTGAGAAGAGGCCAGGCTTGGAGTGGGCCTTCCGGATGACCACTCACTTGGCAGGGCTGGCCTCACTGAAGGTGGACTCTTACCTGCCTCCCACTGGGAGCAGATCCTGAGACAAGGATTGGAGTACAAGTAGCTTATTTGTGAAGTGAACCTAGGATCTCCAGTAGAAGAGTGAGGAAGTGAGACTGGGAAGAGAAGGCAGTGAGGGAGCTGGGGTATTTATACGCCAATTCCCATTGATCATTAGTTGAGGACTTCTGGGGTAGGATGTTAAGTCCTGGTTACATATGGACAGAACAGGGTCAGGTGGCCAGAGAAAGCTCTTTGACAAAAATAATCCCAGGTACTGGTATTTGGAAGTGGTAAGAGCTCAAAGCAGTATCTGCTACACATGTGGTCCCACAAATCCTGAGCAACTCAAGTGAGTTTGTCCGTTGAAAATCAGAACAGCTTAACCTTTCCCAATGTAGAGCTCTCTTTAAAATGCAGGCAGCCTCACCTTGCCCTACTCTGCCTCTCTCAGGGGGAGGCATGGTCCCTACCCAGCATGGCTGCTGTCACTGCCTTCTCCTACAACCATGAGGACAGTGCTCATTGATCACAAGACTTTTTCAGATAAGACCTCATAACCCCTCTCAAGAGAGTGAGTGCTCTAGTCAGCCCCTGTAATGTAAAAGGAATAATCCCAGAAAAATCTCTGATGGGCATTTAGCATGAGACACACATTAGGTGCCCAATAAATGGAAGCCATTGATAGCACTACTGTTGCTGCTTAGAGATAAAACCTATTGGCCAAACCTATCCTGACCCCAAAAGAGATGGAATTTGTCAGATTCATTCCTCCCCAGCAGCTACTAGAGAGGAGTGGAGAGAGAGAGCTGGGAAAAGCCGGAAGAAGTTGGAGTAATTTGGGAGAAGAGCCTGGAGTCCTTCCAAGAAGGAGCCCTGGGCAATGTGAGTTGGGGGGTTGATGAGAGCTTGGTGCCCAGGAGGAGGTGGCAAGGGAGGAGAGATGAGAGGTACTACAATTGTGCCCCATTTTTCATTCTCTCCTGGTGAGTCCCTGTCATTAGAAAGGGCATGTTCGATCTCATCTTCCCTTCTGGTTCCCACTCAGAGATGAGGACTTGCCTCCAGGGCTCCCAGTGGCTTATTCCCATGTTTTCCCATGGTCTGGACTCAAGGAGGGAGGGGTCTCTCTCTCTCTCTCTTTTTTTTTTTTTCTAATTTAGAGACAGAGTCTGGCTCTGTCACTTGGGCTGGAATGTAGTGGTGCAATCATAGCTCACTGTAGCCTTAACCTCCTGGTCTCAAGTGATCCTGCCACCTCAGCCTCCTGAGTAGCTGGGACTATAGGTGCACACTGCCATGTCCGGTTAATTATTTTTTATTTTTGCACCATGTTTAGCTAGTACCCAAACATGTCAGAGAGCCCAGCATGAAACCTTACACAAAAGAGTACAAACTGTATGATTTGAGATTCTTCCAAACTGTTGAATGTATTCGTAGTTGATTCCTCTTTCTCGCTGAGTAGTATTTCATTATATAAATATGCCACCATTTGTTTATCCATTTCCTTGTTGATAGACATTTAGTCTCTCTCTGGTTTTTTATTCTTGTGAATAAAGCTATGAACATTCATGTACACGTCTTTCTGCAGTCAAGGATCATTTCTTTTTTCTTTTTTTTTTGAGACAGAGTTTCGCTCTGTCGCTCAGGCTAGAGTGCAGTGGCGCGATCTCGGCTCACTGCAAGCTCCGCCTCCCGGGTTCACGCCATTCTCCTGCCTCAGCCTCCCCCAGTAGCTGGGACTACAGACGCCCGCCACCGCGCCCGGCTAATTTTTTGTATTTTTAGTAGAGATGGGGTTTCACCGTGTTAGCCGGGATAGTCTCAATCTCCTGACCTCGTGATCCACCCGCCTCGACCTCCCAAAGTGCTGGGATTACAGGCGTGAGCCACCAAGCCTGGCCAAGGATCATTTTTTATACAGGGTTTTGATTTGCTGTCCTGCTCCACTGGAAAACTTCCCTGCCAAGTTAGCGATAGACCTCAGCTAGCAAGACGGATGAGTTGAGTTTCTTCATGAAGCTACAATTCATATCCCAAACTGAAATTCTCATCTATGTCCCTGTATTAGTTCGTTTTCACACTGCTGATAAAGACATACCCGAGACTGGGAAGAAAAAGGTTTAATTGGACTTATAGTTCCACGTGGCTGGAGAGGCCTCAGAATCATGGCGGGAGACAAAAGGCACTTCTTACATATTGGTGGCAAGGGAAATGAGGAAAAAGCAAAAGTGGAAACCCCTGATAAACCCATCAGATCTCGTGAGACTTATTCACTATCACGAGAATAGAATGGGAAAGACTGGCCCCCATGGTTCAGTTACCTCCCCCTGGGCCCCTCCCACAACATGGGGGAATTCTGGGAGATGCAATTCAAGTTGAGATTTGGGTGGGGACACAGCCAAACCATATCAGTCCCTAAACTCACCCCTTCCACAGTCTCTCACTGTGTTTCTGGACTCGTTGCTCAGGCTAGAAACCTGGACTCCTCTCTGCTCATATTCTTCCACCAAACGATCGGCAATCTGATCATAAGTGCTTTCAAAATACCTGAACTTTTATCCCCTCCTCTGCTACCAGTCTGGTCTGGGCCACTATCACTTGTCACCTGGATTACTGCAGTATCCTTCTCTTCCTTCTCTCCAGCTTCTACCCTTGTTTCTCTTCCAACTCACTCTGCTCCTGATGTGATTCTCAACACAGCAGCCAGATTAATCCTTTAGAGGCTGAGACCATGTTCCTCCTCTGCTGGAAACCCTCCAATGTTCCAACAGCTCCCAGCCCACTCTAAGTATAAGCCACAGTCCTTACAATGTCTGTGAGGCCCTAGGTGATCTCCATCATACTTCCCTCCTATCATCTCCCTACTTTCTCCTCTTTGGTCACTCTGTGCATGTCCCTTTAATATGCTAAAGTTGCCCTTGCCTCTCAGCCTTTGCACTGGCTGTTACCCTGAATGGAATGCTCTTCCCTTTGATATCCACGTGGCTCCCTCCTTTACTTTCCTTCAGGCCTATCGACTTCACCAGCTCTATCTGTCTCTACAGTACTTACCACCATCTGACACATTCTATTTACTGGTTTATATGTTGTCATCGGTCTGTCTGTCTGTGTTGCTTATCAGCATGTCAAGCACACAGTTCAGGGACTTCGCTTAGTATGCACTTGTATCCCTAGTGCTCAGAACAGCAGGGGCCTCGTCATAGGCACTCAAATAAGAGACACAGTGGGGCCTAGGAACACCTAAAATGGAGAATCAAATCTGGCAGCTTCCAACCTTAGCTCACTAGTTGGGTGTTGTGTGTATTAAGGGGCTGCTAAGAGCATCCTTTGGGGATCTCTGTCTCCTCAGAGATTTAGGTGACTGCTATGATTTGAATACCTCCTCCAAAATTCACTTTGAAACTTAATCCTCGGCCGGGCATGGTGGCTCACATCTGTAATCCCATCACTTTGGGAGGCTGAGGCGGGTGAATCACGAGGTCAAGAGATTGAGACCATCCTGGTCAACATGGTGAAACCCCCTTTCTACTAAAAATACAAAAATTAGCTGGGCATGGTGGCGCGCTCCTGTAGTCCCAGCTACTTGGGAGGCTGAGGCAGGAGAATTGCTTGAACCCTGGAGGTGGAGGTTGCAGTAAGCCGAGATGGCGCCACGGCACTCCACTCTGGCAACAGAGCAAGACTTCGTCTCGAAAAGAAAGAAAGAAAGAAAGAAAGAAAGAAAGAAAGAAAGAAAGATAGAAAATCCTCAATGTGGCGGTACTGAGAGGTGGGACCTTTAAGAGGGATTAGGTCATGAGGGATCTGCTCTCATGAATGGATTAATCCATTTAAGGATAAATGGCTTAATGGATTAATGAGTTATCATGGGAGTGGAACTGGTGGCTTTACAAAAAGAGGAAGGGAGACCCGAGAAACCGCATTCAGCGCCCCCAACCATGCAATGCCTTGTGCCACCTGGAGACTCTGCAGAGTCCCACCAGCAAGAAGGCCCTCACCATATGAAGTCCCTCGACTTTGGATTCTCAGCCTCCATAACTGTAAAAAATAAATTTATCTCCCTTATAAATTACTCACTTTCAAGTATTCTAAGTAACAGAAAACAGACTAAGCCTGTAACATTAGGCCAAGCCCCCAAAAGCTCCTAGTCTCACAGCCTATGTGAGTTCAGTGTAGGCTTGGGAATTGGAGAAGCCTTCAGGAAATGATGAAATCAAGCTGGGCCTGGGAGCATAGGTGGAGTTTGGGTAGGCAGGGGACAGAAGGACAGTGTGGGCTAGCTTAGGGTAATGCTGCTTAGGTGAGTTACTAGGGGCAGGCACCCCGAACAGAGTATCCGAAGGGCTGCACCCAGCAGTGACACCATCACCTCTCTCCTGTCCTGACTGGGCCGGGCTCTGGGGGAGAGGTCCCAACACTGCCCACCTCTTCTTGTTCTCCCAATATCTGTCATCAGCTCCAGTTTGCATTTCAGTTATTTTTAGATTGTTTTTTCCTTAGCAGTGAAGCAAGCCTGTGGAAGGAAACATATTCCTTCTAAAGCAAGCCTGCAGTTTCTCTGGACAGGCAAGAGTGAGGCCGCCCGCCTAAACAAAGAGAGGTCTGACGTCTGCTAGGGTGTTCTGGGACTCAGTGGGTCCACCCCTGTCTTCAGTCTCGGACCTGGCTGCTCCCAGACCATTTCAAGCCTAAGACAATGACATATCTCGCTGGGTTTTGAAAGCTGCTAGAGGGGCTTCCTAACCTCCTTGGCTGTCCTCATCATAGCTGCCTCCACTCCCTAGCCCTGCGCTCAGTGTTTTTTGCAGGGAAGTTCTTCCTTAAGTCCAAACTGTGGCTCCAAAGATTTCGTTACCAAGGGAGAGAGGGAGTTGCCACTGATGCGCAGTGCTCAAATTGGACTGGGTGGCTTGCGTGGGATGGGTCTGGGAGAAACTGTCACAGAGGTCATGGGAATGATGACAGCTGCAACACACGGTGCCCCAGAGGCTTCTCAACCACTGGTAGGTAGGACGATAAGTAGGCAGGCAGCTGGCTGCAGAGGCCTCTTACTCACCCCATATTCTGCCCTGCCTGGGTTCTGGGCTCTCCTGAGCCTCAAGGTCTCTGCCCTTTCTTTAGAGAAGAGCTGGGTCCCAACTCACAGGACTTCCTCTAAACCCTCCTGGACCTCTTCCAGAGTCATGTCTGGGTCACTCTAAGGAAGGTCCTCACTGGGGACGGCAAGCTGTCTCAGGGTTTGGCTTCTCAGTCTTCTCCCAGATCAGGGCTCTTGTCCCAGGATATGTGGGGTTGGGCTGGGTTGAGCACCCCTGTCCCTTCCCATAACTTTGTTCAGGTTGTGGACTCCTTTAGCAGGCTGGTGAAGTCCATGAAACTCTTCAGAATAATGCTCTTAAATGCATAAGGTAAAATACACCAGATAACAAAGGAAACCAATTGCACTAAAATGCAGATATTAACATATTTTAATATTTATAAGATCCAGCAATCCCACTACTGGGTATATATCCAAAGGAAATGAAATCAAGGTGGAAGGACAGCTGCACTTCCATGTTTATTGCAGCACTATTCACAATATCCAAGCTATGAAACCAATCTAAGTGTCCATCAATGAATGGATAAAGGAAATGTGGTTTATATACAAAATGCAATACTATTCAGTCATAAAAAGAAGGAAACCCTGTCATTTGTGACAACATGCATGAACCTGGAGGACATTATGCTAAGCAAAGTGAACCAGACACAGAAAGACAAATACCACATGATCTCACTAATGTGGAATTTTTGAAAAAGTTGATATCATGGAAGCAGAGAGTAGAACAGTGCTTACCAGAGACTTGAGAAAGGAGCGGAGAAGGGAGGATGGGGAGAGGTTGGTCAATGGGTACAAAGTGACAATTAGATTGGAGGAATAAGTTCTGGTGTTTTATTGCATCGTGGGGTGATGACGGTTAACGGTAAGTTATTGTATGTTACTAAATAGCTGGAAGAGAGTCTTCTGAGTATTCTCACCACAAAGAAATGATAAACGCCTGAGGTGACGAATATGCCAAACATCCTGATTGGGTCATGCATTGAAACATCAAATTGTATCCCATAAATATGAGTAGTTACAAGATGTCATGAGGTGGTGTATTTGTTAATTAGCTACGTTTAACCATTGCACAATATATATTCTTCAAAACATCATGTTGCATGTGATAAATACATATGAAGTCATCTGTCAATTAAAAAAACAAATTTAACCTACCTAGACAACCTAGTGAGACCCTGTCTCTACAAAAAATAAAAAAATTAGCTGGGTGTGGCCAGGCATGGTGGCTCATGCCTGTAGTCCCAACACTTTGGGACGCCGAGGTGGGTGGATCACCTGAGGTTGGGAGTTCAAGACCAGCCTGACTAACATGGAGAAACTCTGTCTCTACTAAAAATACGAAATTAGCTGGGCGTGGTGGTGCATGTCTGTAATCCCAGCTACTTGGAGGCTGAGGCAGGAGACTCGCTTGAATCTGGGAGGCGGAGGTTGTGATGAGCCGAGATTGTGCCATTGCACTCCAGCCTGGGCAACAAGAGCAAAACTCCATCTCAAAAAAAAAAAAAAAGAGAGAAACGTTCTCTTTTCTTTTTTAGCTGGGAGTGGTGGCACATGCCTGTACTCCCAGCTACTTAGGAGGCTGAGGCAGCAGGAGTGCTTGAGCCTGGGAGATTGAGGCTGCAGTGAGCCATGATTGCTCAATGCACTCAGCTTGGGAGACAGAGAGACTCTGTCTTAAAAACATTTTTTAAAAATGTGATATATACTAATGAATTTTTTAACACATTAAAGAAGAAAATCTAGCAGTGGATCTGCTATGGTTTAAATGTGCCCCCCATAATCATGTGTTGGAAATTTAGTCTCCATTGCAACATCGTTGAAAGGTAGGACCTTTAAGAAGGGGGGACCTTAGGCAGAACCCTCACGAATGGATTAATGCCATTATATCATGAGAGTGGGTTGTTATAAAAGTGAGTTTAGGCTGGGTGTGGTGGCTCATGCCTGTAATCCCAGCACTTTGGGAAGTTGAGGCAGGCAGATGACTTGAGATCAGAAGTTTGAGACCAGCCTAGCCAACATGACGAAACTCTTTTTTTTTTTTTTTTTGAGATGGAGTCTCACTCTGTCGCCCAGGCTGGAGTGCAGTGGTGCGACCTCAGCTCACTGCAAGCTCCGCCTCCCGGGTTCATGCTATTCTTCTGCCTCAGCCTCCTGAGTAGCTGGGACTACAAGCACCTGACACCAGACCTGACTAATTTTTGTATTTTTAGTAGAGACGGGGTTTCACCGTGTTAGCCAGGATGGTCTCGATCTCCTGACCTCATGATCCGCCCGCCTCAGCCTCCCAAAGTGCTGGGATTACAGGCGTGAGTCACCGCGCCCGGCCGAAACTCTGTCTTTATTAAAAATACAAACATTAGCTGGGCATGGTGGCGGGTGCCTGTAATCCCACCTAATTGGGAGGCTGTGGCAAGATAGTCACTTGAGCCTGGGAGGCGGAGGTTGCAGTGAGCCAAGAAGGAGCCACTGCACTTCAGCCTGGGTGGCAGAGCAAGACTCCGTCTCAAAAAAAAAAAAAAAAAAAAGTGAGTTTGGCCCCTCTTGCTTTCTTGTTACTGCCCGCTCTTGCCTTTCTGCCTTTTGCCACAAGATGACACAGCACGAAGCCCTTGCCGGACGCTGGTGCCATGCTCTTGGACTTTGTGGTCCACAGAACTGTGAGCCAAATAAATTCTGTTCATGATAAATTACCCAGTCTCAGGTATTCGGTTATAGCAGAAGCAAACAGATTAAGACAGGATCTAATATCTATCACAATTTCACAATATCATAAATGATATTTTAAGATATCTGCAATAACTCTAATATGTTAGGGAAATAGCTGTGATTTTTGTTGGTGACAAAGTTGCAGACACTGCTAAATACTACTGTCATCTATTGCCTACATTCATAATGCAAGGAAATACCATATTTCAGTTAGAGGCAGTGAAAATAATGGGGAAACTTTTTTTTTCCACCCAAGTTTATTGACATCAGGATAAGAATTCTGCCTTTGGGCCCGACACAGTGCTTCATGCCTGTAATCCCAGCACTTTGGGAGGCCAAGGCGGGCAGATCACTTGAGGTCAGGTGTTTGAGAGCAGCCTGGCCAATATGGTGAAACCTTGTTTCTACTAAAAATACAAAAATTAGCCGGGTGTGGTGGTGGGCACCTGTAATCCCAGCTACTCGGGAGGCTGAGGCAGGAGAATCACTTGAACCTGGAAGGTGGAGGCTTCAGTGAGCTGAGATCATGCCACTGCACTCCAGCCTGGGCAACAGAGTGAGACTCTGTCTCAAAAAAAACAAAACCAAAAAAACAGAATTCTGCCTTTGACTTTCTCTTACCTTCATTATTTTTTGGGGCTAGATTAAGGACCTGGTGGGGCTGGAGGGGGCACCAGGCCTGGATTTCTCATTTGTAAAATATACTTATTTTATTTTTACTTAAAAATTTTTTTTAAAAAATTTTTTGAGACAGAGTCTTGCTCTGTCACCCAGTCAATATACTTATTTTAAATTAAACAGGAAGAAATTGGTGTTTGTAAAAAATTCAGGCAATATAAATAAAGACTTCTCTCATTTATCCCCCAAACCCTCTTCCCTCTTCAGTGGTAGCCCCTGTTATCTGTGTGTTACATATAGTTTCAAATTACAAAAGTAATATTTGAAAATATTTGCCTTGAAAAAATCAGATTTTTAAAAGAACTTTACTTACTGTACATACAGCAATACTTAGTTTTGTATGTAGTTACTTTTTTCTTTTTTCTTTTTTTTTTTTTTTTTGAGATGGAGTCTCGCTCTGTCACCCAGGCTGGAGTGCAATTGCGTGATCTCGGCTCACTGCAAGCTCGGCCTCCTGGGTTCAAGTGATTCTCCTGCCTCAGCCTCCCGAGTAGCTGGGACTACAGGCATGTGCTACCACGCCCGGCTAATTTTTTTGTATTTTTGGTAGAGACAGGCTTTCACTGTGTTAGCCAGGATGGTTTTGATCTCCTGACCTTGTGATCCACCTGCCTCGGCCTCCCAAAGTGTTTGGATTACCGGTGTGAGCCACTGCGCCTGGCCTACTTTTTTCTAATTAAGAAAAATACCAGATCTTTGTCTGGTATGTGTGTAGTCTTTTCTCAAATGCAAATAGGAGCATATTGTACATGCTCTCTTGAAACTTGCTCTTTTCCTGTACAACGTGACATGGAGGTCTTCCCACGTTAGCACGTATGGACTTGCCTCCTTTTTTTCTCATTCTTTTTACTGCTGTTTAGTATGTTGCATAAGTGCTGGGTCAAAGGGGGAACCACGTTTTGAATTTTAGTCAATAGAATTCAGCAGCCTCTCCCATGCCCAGGATGTGGGCCAGGCATCAGTCACCCAAGCTGGAATTTAGGCACTAATTTCCCTCTACTCCACTCTATTTGCCCAATCTATCAGCAAGTCTCCTGAGTATCTGCTAGCATTGGCTCCGGTTCTCCAACCCCACTGTCACTTCCTTCCTTCATCATCTATTTCTCCTGTTGGGGTGAATGCATTAGCTTACCCCTCCCACCTCTCATCCCTAGTCTTCGTAGTCCTATCTCCTGCGTGGCCCATGTTATTCTGTAGTCGGTTTACCTTTCTTGATCTCGAATCCAATCATGTCCTCCCTGATCTTAACTCTTCCATGGCTTCCCATTACCTTAGGATCATTTCCAGGTCTTTCAGCTTGGCCTATTCCCATCATTCCAGCTGTGCCAACCTCTCTGGCGGCATCATTCCTCTGGGGGATCTCACTGCATGCCCTAGATCTCAGTGATGCAGACAGTCGGGACCCTTAACATTTCAGGCTGCCCGCACTCCATGCCTTGCTCAGTTTCTCTGACTGCAATGCCCTTTCTACTTCCTTTTTTCTTTTCTCCTCCCTTTCACGTGGTGAACACCCAGCCATCTTTTAGGGGGTCATCTTCCCAGTCACTCATTCTGGACATTCTTTTCTATCCCCTAAAAGACAAGTGAGCATTTTCCTTTGAGCTCCTGCTGACATTGTTCAGGCCTTTGGCATAGTCTTGTCATGATTTACTGCCCAATTTGTTCCCCTGCTCTTCTCCCCTCTAGGCTGTGAACTCTTGAGGCTGTCTGAACAGTGATGGCATGCCATCTCCTATAGGGAATGGACATGCAAAAAGGACACACATCACAAGTGTGCAGCTTCCTGGCTGTAAACTGTAAACTGAACCTACTCATGTCACCAGCACCCAGATCAACAGAATATTACCAGCACCCCAGAAGTCCCCATGTGTCCATACCCACCAGAATCCCCTTTCTGTTCTTTAAAGAAAATAGTCCACGATATCCTTGCCGAGTTTTAGCTGTTTGTTTGTTTTGAAACAGGGTCTTGCTCTGTTGCCCAGGCTGGAGCACAGTGGGGCTCACTGTAGCTTCAACCTCCTGAACTCAAGTGATCCTCCCACCTCAGCCTCTTGAGTAACTGGGACCACAGGTGCATGCTACCAAGCCTGGCTATTAAAATTTTTTTTTTTGTAGAGAGGTGGGCGGGGGGGGGGTGTGGTCTTCCTATGTTGCCTAGGCTGGTCTCGAACTCCTGGCTTCAAGCTATCCTCCTGCCTTGGCCTCCCAAAGTGCTGGGATTACAGGCATGAGCCGCTGTGCCTGACCTAAGTTGTTTTTTGCTTTCTGGTTTTAGTTTTTTTGCTTTCAGTTTTTCTTGTGTTTGTATTTTGTATAAATGATTCAAACAGTATGTTCTCTTTTGTGTCTAGTTTCTTTGGCTCAGCATCATATTGGTGAGGTTTATCAAAATTATATGTGTAGTTATAGTTTGTTCATTCTAGCAGCTGTGTATTATTCCATTGCGTGTGTATACCACAATTTATGTATCCATTCTACTGTTGTCGGGTGTTTCCAAGACAAACTGGCAAATGAAAATGTTGCAGAATGTATGTTGAATACATAAACATATACATGCAAAACAATCCCAAGCATGTCTATAAATGCATAGAGAAGTGGTTGCCTGGGAGGAACTGGGGATTGGGGAGGTGACAGCCAAAGGGACTGTAAACTTATCTGTAATGTTTTAAATTTTCTACATGGAAACTGTATTCCAGTATAACTTAGATAATTAAAAATTAAATATAATTTTTTTACACATATTCATGCTCTGTGCATTTGGGTCCTCAGAGCTATGTTGGGAGAAATATCAGTCAGTCAATCAAGCAAGCAATATTAAATGTGTATTTATGGCCCAGTGCGGTGGCTCACACCTGTAATCCCAGCACTTTGGGAGGCCGAGGCGGGCGGATCACGAGGTCAGGAGATCGAGACCATCCTGGCTAACATGGTGAAACCCCGTCTCTACTAAAAATACAAAAAAATTAGCCGGGCGTGGTGGCGGGCGCCTGTAGTCCCAGCTACTTGGGAAGCTGAGGCAGGAGAATGGCGTGAACCCGGGAGGCGGAGCTTGCAGTGAGCCGAGATCGCGCCACTGCACTCCAGCCTGGGCGACAGAGCGAGACACCCGTCTCAAAAAAAAAAAAAAAAAAAAAGTGTACTTATTTATTTATTTGTAAATTATTTTATTTCTTCCTTGATGACTTAGAGGGACTATCATCAAACCAGTACGAAACTTTCATACATAATACCTGGCCATTTTCTTACCAATTGAGTAATTTGTTGCACAAAAAGCTACTTAACGTCTTTCAGCAAGAAATACATTAAATCTGAATAGTAAAGACATTACATAATGAATTAGGACACAATTAAAATTTGCTTTAAATATTTCTTTGGGGGAAAGGACACCACACTTCTACTCAACGAAGAGAAACATTTTTACAGTCCAGAGGTCTTTTATTTTTTTAACACCTATTATGCCTGAATTCATAGGGAAGAGGTTCCAGCAGCTCAGGCTCCTTCTCATTGGTTCTCACAAAGTGTGCTTCTCTGGGTGGAGCAGGCTGGCGCTTTGGTTGAACCCAGGTGCCTTTCTCTTTGACTTCTTTCTTTGTCTGATCATTTTCCTTCACGCGTCTCAGGAAGCCATCTCGGCTCTTAGAGTGCTTCCTGTGCTCAATATGCACATTAATTCTCTTGGCAAGAATCTTGCCCTTAACTTGTTTGTTTAGAACAATGCCAACGGCATGCTGGGGAACATTGCAGACTCTTCCAGTTTTGCCATGGTGACACTTGAGGGGCATGCCTTTTTGAACAGTTCCCATTCCTTGATGTCTACAGTATCACCTTTCTTATAGATTCGCATATATGTGGCCAAAGGAACAACTCCATGTTTTCTAAAAGGCCTAGAGAACATATATCGGGTGCCTCTCCTCTTTTCCTCTGTGTTCATCATCTTGGCGAATTACTGGAAGATGGCGGCTCCAGCCGAAAGCTAAATGTGTGTTTATTATTTGATCAAATATATCAAATCAAATAGATCACACTTACACGCCATGTGGCCTTGAGCAAGTGACTTCACTTCTTTGATCCTTAGTTCCTTGTTCTCTTAGCTTGGTTCCTCGCCCCGCCCCTCCTGCTGCCTGCCAGCAGAACCTGAGACAAAGGCTTGTGAACAGGTAGTTTATTTAAGAACGTGATCTTGGGGAGCAGGAGGGAGGGACAGGGACATTGAATCAAGAAATGAGGGAGAGCCAATACAAGATGTGACACCAAGTTAGCCAGTGCTATCTATGGGTGTCTGGAGGTGGGGGCCATCACAGCCTTTCGTGGAGTTTTCTGAAATGTCTCAGAACTCCCTGCTGGGGGACAAAAGGCAGAAGCATTATTCACTGGTTCTCACCACTGTTGGTCAAGGGACATCCCACAGCTTCTTAGTTCCTCCCACATTGCTGGGCTGCTCGTGCATGACGGCCAAGCATGTTCCCTTGGGTGTCCCACCCAGCTGTAGTGGAGAAGCCCCGGGTCAGCTCAGCACTGGCTGGAGGAAGAGATCTGCTCAAGAGGTTTTTGAAGTGGTGTCCCAAATGTGTCTAACACATTCATCTTTAATGTGAGGGGGGTGTCTCCACTTCAAAGGGACACTGCAAGGATTGGGCTGAATTCCATATCTAGGTAACAAGGCACCCAGGGTTGGTGTTCTGAGGTCCTGGGAAGGATAGGGGGTGGAGGAGACCTGGCCCCCCTACTCCAGTGTGGGGCTAAAGGAGGGGGAAGCTGGAAAGGGAGCTGAGCTGGCAGAGGCTCTGCCATGTTGCTTCTCCAGGGCTGGGCAGAGGCCCAAGCAAGACAGTGGGAAGGACAGCAGGTTCCAGGACACAGGGAGGAAGGGGGCCTGGAGGGATTTCCCTGGGCCTGGAATGCAAGGATGAGGTTCCTAATAGGTGCCGTGGCCTTGTTCCTGTGAGAGGAAGGAAACTGATGAGGCCACCGAATGGAGCAGAAAAGGTGCAGTGAAAATCCTTACCGCCTCCTGCCCTGCAGCCTCTGCATAGTCACAGGGGTGACTATTTTACATCACCCCTGATCACCCACTGTGGTCCAGCCTTGATCCTTCTCAAGGTTATGAAATAATTTGCTAGCAGCCCTTGCTTTTCAAGTATATTACAGGCTAGACTAGGGGTTCTTAATTTAGGGTCCTGCAGATACAGTGTAAAAGGGTCAATAAAACTTAGTTGAAAAAAATGACATCTATACGTTGCTCTAAATTAAATTGAGCACTACCTTCAGTTATGGATTTAGGCAACAAACCACAGAGCTGAGTCTTTGTCACCAGCAGAAGCCACAGATATTTTCACATCACATGACAGTTATAGATATTTTGAAAGCTCATTTATACTTCAAGATTGCAGTAATTATTAGGCCCTCTGTTAGATATCTTGGTATGTAGTGTATTAAGGAAGAAACACATAAATCTCTCTCTCCTTTTTTTTTTTTTCTGAGACGGAGTCTTGCTCTGTCACCCAGGCTGGAGCGCAATGGGCGTGATCTCAGATTTTCCTGCCTCAGTTACCTGAGTAGCTGGGATTACAGGTGCCCGCTACCTTGCCCACCTAATTTTTGTATTTTTAGTAGAGACGAGGTTTCACCATGTTGGTCAGGCCGGTCTTGAACTCCTGACCTCAGGTGAGCCACCCGTCTCGGCCTCCCAAAGTGTCGGGATTACAGGCGTGAGCCACCGTGCCTGGCCTAAAGCATATATATTCTTATATTACACATTTTAAAATATTTTGATAACAATATTTCAATGTAATTGGCTTCCTTTGTAATCTGATATATTTTATTTTATGCATTTAAAAATATTCTTAGAGGGAGTCTATAAGGTTAACAATACAAAAAGTGCAAGAATCCCTGCACTAGATCAGGAATGGCCAGTACTGACCTGCCTGTGCTTATGGCAGACATTATGAATCAATCATGGCAGTCTTTCTAGCAGATGCCAGATGCTCTCTAGGCATTTTCTACTAACTTGTCTGCGGAGACATATGAGGTCAAATTTAGCTGCCCTTCCTGGTCTATAATGAACCAATGCAGGATAAAACAAGGCAGGATAAAGATATGATTAAGTGCTTCTTTGGCAAGCACAGCAAATTAGAGCAAAGTTTGAGACTAAGTGTGTCAAAGGAGTTGGAACAAGAAACCCTTCACAGTGAGGTAGACCCACAGTCAGGGATTTAAAGACATGATTTTGAGAGGTGGAGGAAGGAGGGTGATGGTATTCAGGGTAGGGGCAGGGGCAATGAGAGGAGGAAAGACTTATATAAACAAAGGTTTGAGGATGGAAAGAACAAGAGATTTCAGGGGACGTTGTGGCAACCAGGTTTCGGAGAAGTTGTGGGAAATGAAACTGAGAGAGCAACTTCTTTAGGAAGGTTTGAATATGAAGAATTTTGCCTCAGAAGTCCTTAAGAGGACTTCTGTGAATAGAGGACAAAGGGTGTACCAGTTTGCTTTTACCGTGCAACAAGCCATCTCAAAATTTAGTAATTTAATACCACAACCATTTATTATTTCTTACTCATTTATGGGCCTGCTGGGTGGTCCTTCTGGTCTGGGCTGGCTTAGCTGATCATGGAATTTCCTCATGCATCTGCAGTCAGCTGATTGGCAGGGGGTGGAGGGGCTGGTGGATTCAGAACAGCCTCATCATATGGTTGGTTGGCCTGACTGTTGGCTGGGCCAATGGGGGTGCCTGGGCCACATGGTTTCTCATCCTCCAGAAAGCTAGCCTGGGCTTACTTACATGGTGGCAAGACAGATTTCCAAGAGAAGAGGAAATGCATATGGCATCTTGAAGCCTAGGCTCAGAATGGGCAATTCTACCACTTCACTTCTACCGTATTTGAACTGCCAAAGCAACTCATGAGGCCAGCCTAGATTCGAGGAGTAGGAGAATAGACTGTGCCTTTTGATGGGAGAAGATACAAAGTCACACTGCAAAGGGTGTGGTTACAGGAAGAGGAATCACTGTGGCCCACCTCCTTTTTTTTTAAGAGACAAGTTCTCACTCCCAGACTGGAGCACGTGGCATAATCATAGCTCACTGCAGCCTCAAACTTCTGGGCTCAAGTGATCCTCCCACTCCAGCCTCCTGAGTAGCTGGGACTGTAGGCATACCACCATGCCCCAGCTAACTTTTTAATTTTTATTTTTGTAGAGTGGGGTCTTGCCGTGTTGCCCAGGCTGGCCTTGAACTCTGGGGATTGGGGCCACTTTTGTAATTAGTCTATCCTGGAGGGTTTGAGGGCAGCTGTGGAACATGAAATACTAGGAGAAAAGCCCCAGGGACGGGGGGCTGGTTGGGAAACAATGACAGTAGTGTTTGGGAAGATAGGGATAGGATGTTTGCCCAGACTCTGAGATGGGGTAGGCCTGAGGTGGCGAACAATAGAGGGGATGGGGAGGAAATAGGTATCTGAATTTGGGGCCTGTGGGCCAGGCAAGGAACATAACCATTCGCAGAACTGGAGATGTCAGCAGGCGGCTGATGGGATCAAGGCCTGTCTGATGTGGAGTCCTGCACTGAGAAGGCCTTGAGGCCTTGGCAGACGGCAGCCCAGGTGTGCACCTGAGTCCAGAGGCCTCTGCTACCTACAGGCTGAAAGGTCTTGTGAAGCCCATTAGCATTTCCTGCACTCACTAAGTGTTCTGCTATGCAGAGTAGGGGTAGGAATGCGAACCTTGCAGGGCTGGGAGGGAGTGAAATAGGGCTCACTGTGGCGAAGCATTTTGTAAACTCTTTTGGACTGTACACTTTTTAGTGGTTTTATGGTTTTGTTTTAAATTGAAGAGACATTAGCCACACAGATGAGGGACCTAGGAGGAAATGTGAAGGGAGAAGAGGAGGACCTGGGGTTCTGTTTGTGGGAGAGGCTGCAACTGTTAGGAGGCCGTGGGAATAGAAGGATCCAGAAACAGAGAGGGCTTGGCTTGTACAGAGTCCCTCCGGCTTGAGGCATGGGGAGTTCAGGACAGCAGCAGTGGGGGGCATTCAGTCATGACTGGCTCTGTGCTTGCCCAGTCCTTGGGGTCAGAGAGTTGGGAGTCGGGTGGTGGGAAAATTAGTCTCCCTGCCTAGTCCTCCAATTGCAAAGTCCTGGGTGGTCTGGACCGACGTCAGTGCAGCTCCCCACTCCTCCCTCGCTCCTCCTTCTTGCTGCTCTGAAAAGTCCAGCAGAGTCACTGCTTCCAGATGTGGCCTCCAGATGTGGCCTGGAGTTTTTCCAGAGGATCAAGGATGCAGAGGCAGCAGCCCAGCTCCTGGCCTTTCTTTCTCCCTCCTTCTCCAATGGGGCCTGCCCATTGCTACCCCTCCGCTGACTTCTCTTCCACCACTAGGTCAGGTACCAGGTACCCAGAGGTCCTGGCAGATAGATAAATACCATTTATAAATAAACCTGAGCCAGACACATACATCTTTATTCGTGTTGGAAAGAGTTTACATCTGGGGGAGTGGAGACCTCTCCAATGTTTCCGTTCTGAGCAGTCCCAGCGGCTCCAGAAGGAGGAAGTGAGCTGTCTCCTTGGCTGGGGACCCGCCAGGGCACTGGGCTTCGGGCCAGCCAGGGCCTGGGAGGAGCTGCTGGAAACCTGCCCCTTAATGGGAACAGCCTGGGCCCTGATGTCTCACCGGGACAGAGCCCCAGTTAGGGGGGAAAGGCAGCTGTTTTATTAGTAGCAGACCATGGAAACCAGGTGGAGCTGCTACAAGTGAGTTCTCTGGTTGCCTGGATCGGTGTGTCACAGTTAGTAACGCCTGCGCTAATTCCCTGGGGCTCTTGTTAAAAATGCAGATTTTGACTCAGTTTATCTGGAGTAGGGCCTGGGGTTCTACATTTCTAACTAGTTTTCAGGTGATTCTGATGCTGCTGGTCTGTGGACTACATTTTGAGTAGGAAGGTTCTAGACTGGACGTCTAAAACATGCCTCTACTTTCCTCTATTTTTTTGTGTGTGTACGTTTCTGTATTTTTTTTGTACACATTTTGTATTTTCTGTAGCTTTTCCTGTTTTTTTTCCCCAGTCTGTTTTTAATTCAAAAAGTACCAAAGAGTAGGTAGTGAAAAGTCTCCTCATATCCCTGCCCCCAGCAACCCAGCCATCCCTTCCCATGGCCAGCCAGTGTTGTTGTTTTTTTGTGTACATCCTTTAAGAGACATTTTATGAATATACAGGCAAATATATAGTTCCTCTTCTGTCTCCCTGCCCTGTTTTGGTTATTATCTGATGTGTACTAGTACACATCTTTCTTTATTATGCAACGTACCTTGGAGATTGCACTGGCTCCTTCTTTTTTTTTTTTTTTTTAATTTTTCAGATATTTTTCAGTGATGGATTTCTTTTTTAAAGTTGCACAGTTTTATTATACACCACAACTTACCAAGCAGATTCCTTGTTGATGAATACTTGGTTTTGTCCAACCTTTTGCTCTTGTGCAGTACATATATTAATCACTTGGCAAAGGCCTACAAGTGGAAATGCAGGGTCAAAGAGTCTGTGCATTTGTAATTTTGATGAATATTGCCAAACTTACCTCCCCAGAGAGGTTGTGCTAACAACATGTGAGAGAGAGCCTATTTCCTGTGCTCTCCCAACACCGTGTGTTAACAAACTTTTTTATCTTTGCCAGTCTCATATGTGAAAAACGGTAACTGCTGTTTTTGAAACTCTCTCTTCCTTCAGCTTCCATGACTCTCTTCAACAATATATTTGTCAGAGGGTCACTGCATTCGTCTTCTCTGGGCCAGCCAACTTATCAGCACTGGGGTTCCGAAGAAGACCAACACTAATAATCCTTGCTCTTGCCTCTGGAAGGGAAGACAAAAAAATTAATTTGTTAATGATGACCAATGAATGGGATGAGAGCTATGATAAGGGGGTGACTTCTTAAGGCAGCACTTCTTACACCTCAATGTGCACACACATCAACTGAGGACCTTGTAAAAATGCAGACTCCGAATCAGCAGGTCTCGTTGTGGGTCTGAGATTCTGTGGTTCCAACGAGCTCCCAGGTGAAGAAGTTGCTGTTGGTCCCAGGACTACATTTTGGGTACCTAAAACAAGGGCTGGCAAACTTTTTCTGAAAAGGACAAGAGAGTGGATATTTTAGGTGTCATGGGCCACATGTGGGTCTCTGGTGCAGTTATTCAACTCTGCCTTTGAAAGCAACTGTACGATATGTAAATGAATGGGTGTGGTTGTGTTCCAATATAATTTTATTTACAAAACAGCTGGCTGTGTTTGCTGACCCTTGGCCATAGGCATCCAATAAATAACCTATTGAAGCAATGAGTGAACGATGTCATTGGGCAGTAGTAGGGGCCTGAGCTAATCTAGGGGTCAGGGGATACCTGAAAAAAAGGCATATTTGTCAGAGTCCTACGGGGAAAACAAAAGCCAAAAGCCAATGTTTAAAGAGGGGTAATGACACGCAGGGAATGGGTTACGTGGGTAATGGAAGAGCTGAGAAGTTACTTAGATGCAACCCAGAGATTAGCAACAGCAGGAAGCTGTTACCAATCACCCTGGGTAGGATGAGGAGAGCGGTGAGGAGCTCTCAGATCACCACCTGCTAGGACTGGAACCATGGTGGATGTACCTACTGGGAGCTTGGAGCCCTGGATAGACCCAGCTAGGGTCAGAGACTCTTGGAAGAATCTCATTTCTTCCTGCTCTTTCATCTTCCACCTTTTGGTCAAAATCAGCTGTCATCCAGTCTATACAGGAACCTGCGGGGGCCAACCTCTGCCCTCTAGCTCAGAGCAGGGGCAGTCAAAGCATGATGTGAGGCCAATAAGCCTAGGCCTAAGGGATATTTAGAGTGACTGTGAAAGTGTAGGTAGTTGACCAGGCATACCAGGGAGGGAGGGAGGGTGTATCAGACACAGAGGACAGGCTTAGGGTGTGTAGGGGTGAATGGTGTGGGATGAGGCTGGTAGGGAGGCCACTCCTTTAAGCAGGATGAGATTTATGCTTTAGAACAGAGGCTGGCAAACATCTCTGTCACACAGTTTTCTTTGTTTTGTTTAAAAACAAATGTAAAAACTGTAAAAACCATTCATGGCACATAGGCTACACAAAAACAGGCCACAGGCAGTGTTTGGTTCATGGGCTGTAGTTTGCCAGCCTGGTTTTGAAAGATCCACTTTAGAGGGATGGATTGGAACAGACAAGAGGCTGAGAGAGGCAGAAGGGCTGGAGAGGAGACTGCTGGAGCTACCAGGTGGGAGACGATGAGAGCCCAGTTGTTGGTCATCATAGTGGACAGAAGGGAGGGACTTAGAATTGTAGAATGCACAGGACACAGAATTAGCTGGTCTCAACAAAAGGTCTAAGCCTGGTCTGGAGGGATGTGCAATTGGGCACATTGACTATTCCTCTGATTAGCTCGGAATCCCTTCATCCCTTGCTTCAGGGAGACAGAGGGAAATCCTGTCATCCTGGAGAATGAAATTCACTATGGCCCGCCTTTCCCCTCCCCAGTCCTCTCTTTGGGTGGAATGCATGGAGGAGCAGGTTGCACTGCCTCTCACTAAAGGAGGAGTTGGGCACTCAGCTGTTGGTGACTCACATGTTGCTCATTCTAGAATATGGGTCCCAAGCATCTCCTGACCTCAGTTTCAGGCCTTGGCTGCCATTCCAGGACAACAGAAGAAGTCCCACCAACATCCTCTGACACTTTCTTGTGGAGTTTCCTGTGGGTCCAGAGTAGAGATAAGGGCTGGGAAGACCCTCACCCAGCCCTGGGCTCAAACACCTGCTGGTAGCCTCTGCCATCATCTCGATCACACACGGGCTAATGGTGTTGCGACAGGGCTGGGATGATGTCTTAGTTTGGACTGCCCTGGAGGCAGACCGTGAGACAAGGCTTTGAACACAAGTAGTTCTGTGAAATGGGGAAGGAAGGCAGCCCACAAGGGGTGTATTATCAAGCTAGTTACCACTGTGGGCAACTGGAGTTCAGTCTTGCGGGGGAAATCTGGGCATCAGAGTAGAACACGTGCCCCAGAGTTATCTTGCCTGAGGAGTGAGGGAGCTGGGGTATTTATCCATCAACTCCTGTGAGTTATAGCTAGAAGAAGGGCTCTGCTAAGGGTTGTTAATTCCCTGGCACTTCCAGCATGCTGCCTGGCCTTCTGCAGTTTAGGAAAGAAAGCTCTCAGGTGCAGACATGCAGATTCACAGGTGGAAGGCAGCGGGAGCTCCCTGAGGTGGTGAGGCCTCAAGGAGTGAGCAGGATGCCTATAGGATCCACTATCAATGGTTATCATCTCCACTTGACAGATGGGGGAACTGAGAAGCAAAGTGACAGTCCCAAATCACACTGCAGTTTGTGACAATGAGGGGCTGGAGCTCAGAGCATGTGGGTCCAGGGTCTTCCACTATTTTTTATGCCGTTGTTATGAATCTTCTGGGCATAAGAGGACCTGCCCTTGGTATCTCATAGGCTGACTCTGGTTGCCCTACATGCCTGCCTGCTACATTGTCTCCCCTGATGACCCCCACTTCCTGGGTCTACCCAGAGTCCAGAGCCCAAAGCCATACCTGCAGGAAGGGAAGCCTGCAGGACATGCACATGTGGCAAGGCTTGGCTTCTTACCAAGTGTAAGACTATGTAAGACTCGCAGAGCATGGGGAGGAGGGTAAGCAGGAGACAGGGTGGGGTGGGGAGCTGGGAGGTGGCCAACTTGTCAAGCTGTGTGGGAGGAAGGCGTGCTGAGCAGAGGTAGACAGAACAGGACTGAGCCAGCATGGAGGGCAGTCCAGAGGACCGAAAGGTGGGCTGGGCAAGTCTGAGCCCCCTGCCCCTTGCATGGTTAGTTGTGACGTGGGACTGTTTGCATAGCTGGGAGCAGATGTCTCAGGCCTCAGCACTGAAGGCTGTGTGTGTTCATCTAGGAATTACTTATGGGGGCCCCGTATGTCCCAGCTAGAGTGTCAACAATCTTGGGGGACACGTGGGAGAATTAGACATTTGGTTGCTCTCAGAACCTGTTGGGTCCTGTAGGGGGAATAAAACGCTTCCTCCAGCCTATAGGGTTTTTCGTGTTTTTGCCCAGAGACAAGGTCTTGTTCTGTTACCCAGGCTGGAGTGCAGGATCCTATCTCACTGCAGCCTCAGCTCTAGGGTTCAGGTGATCCTACCGCCTCAGCCTCCCGAGTAGCTGGGACTACAGGCATGCACCACCACACTTAAGTTTTAAATTTTTTTTGTGGAGACTGGGAGTCTCACTATGTTGCCCAGGCTGGTCTCAAACTCCTGGCCTCAAGTGATCTTCCCACCTCAGCCTTCCACAATGCCGGTATTAGAGTTTCCAGAGCCACCATGCCCAGCCTCCATTCTACATTGAGTCCTGAGTTGGATGGTAGAAAAGAGCACAGCCTCAGGAAGCCCCTAGTTTGAGGGCAAAGACATACTCTCAAATCCAGTTGTGAGGTTCCCCCCTTTCTGCTCACAGAGTCGTGGAAACAGTTTTCTTCCCAGTCTTTGATACCAAAAAGGAGGTGGAGATGACTGGGAATTCCACCTGGCTGGCCCAGCAGAAGCTCGATGCTCAAAGGTGGACACCAAGAGCTGCAGGTTACCCTGCCCACACCCACCCATTCCTAAAGCCAGCCTGTGGTCGCTCATGAGCAGAGGTGACTGTGTTAGTCCCCTCCTTGTGCCCTCATGCTTTGCAATGTGACTTTGCCATTCCTCCCATCAGGAGGTGGAGTGTGTTCCCCACCCCTTGAATCTGGGCTGGTGTATTAGTCAGTGTTCTCCAGAGAAACAGAACCAACAGGATGTGTATATATATAGAAGGACATTTATTTTAAGGAATTGGCTCATGTAATCATGGAGGCTTGGTAAGTCCAAAATTTGCAGAGTAGGCTGGCAGGCTGGAGATTCAAGGAAGAGTTGTCATTTCAGTCCAAAGGCATTCAGCTGGAGAATTCCTTCTTGCTGGGGGGAGATCAGTCTTTGTTCTCTGTAGGCTGTCAACTGATTGGAAGAGGCCCAACCACCTAATAGAGGGTCATCTATTTTACTCAAAGGTCCCCAACTGAACTGTTAACTGCATTAAAAAAAATAAAGAAAGAAAAAGCACCTTCACAGAAATATCCAGAATAATGTTTGATCAAATACCTGGGCACTATGGCCCAGCTAAGATGACAACATTAACCATCATGGCTGGCCTGTCACTTGCTTTGGGCCATAGAATGTGCTGACAGTAAAGCTGTTGAGTCCTGCGCCTAGGCCTCAAGAGGCCTTGCTCAAATCCATTTGCTTTCATGGAATTCTGCCAAGCCATCAGGCAGACGATCTTGATTTGAAGGATGGGAGACTCTGTGGAACAGAGATGAGATGTACCAGCTGACTCCAGTTCCCAGCCAACCTGGCAGCTGACTGCATATGCCCAAAGGGAGCTCAGCTGAGATCAAACTGCCCAGGAGAGCATGGCCCAAATTGCTGACCTGCAGAACTGTGAGCTAAATCAATAGTTGTTGTTTTAGGCCACTAAGTTTTGGCATGTTTTGTTACACAGCAAGAGCTAACTGATACACAGTCTAACTTCTGCAGTGCTCCCAAGACAGGTATCCTAACAGCCTGCTACTCAGCTGATGGAGAAAACACAGGCAAATGTAGGGGCAACTTGCAGCTACCATAGGCTCTGTGGGTGTCTGCATCCATTGATGGTATACATGCAGACACTCTTCTACCTTGATATTTAAATGTAGCTCTGCCAAACCCACTCTGGCCTGCCAAGCTCCCACAATACTGTGCCAGAGCAGAGGAGGGGCTGATGGCTGGCAACTGGGAAGGCTATGTGCTGGAGGTAGAGGGAAGCCAAGGGCTGGATCCTGGAGGCTGCTGCAGTAGGCCCAGGGGAGTTGCAGGGATGGATCATAGGATGGAGGACGGGAAAAGAACTTGGGAGGCAGCAAACCTGGGTCAACTTCTGCTTCTGTTGCTCATCAGGCCTGTGTCGTGGGACAAATCACTTCACCTTTCAGAGCTTCCATTTTTCCAAGGGTAGAGTTAGGTTTTATGGGGCCTGAGGCTGATACAATTTGGGAGCCCTCCTCAAGCAGAAGAATAAAAACTATGATTACGAAATTGCAGGGCTTTGGAAGGGGCCCATGCAAGTGAGCTTAAGCTGCATTGGCTTTGCAGTAAATTGCTTCTGGCTTCTCCACTAGAAAAAATAGTAGACTTAATACTGATGGAACAGAATGGTTTTGAAGGTCAAATACATTCACCATACATAGTGGGAGTCCTGGGGGTGGAATCTGGCAGGAAGGCAGCTTTGCAGTGGGGAAAGGGCTCAGGCGGTGGCTGGTGGGTGGGCTCCTGGGGGAGAGAAGGGTGGAATGAGGAGTGTAGTGGAGAAACACAGAGGGGTGTCTGTTCTCTCATCGGGTCTCCATGTAACTGCCCCCAGGGCACACAGAGAGGGTTGTAGGCAGAAGCAGGAGCTGATTTCACGAGATTCTGAGGCCGAAGCAAGGTTGGGACAGGGTTCCAGACACAAACTTGGGAAGAAGGGTATGTTTTCTTCTCTAGAGTGAAAGGCTGAGCTGAGGATTCTTGAGCAGGTGATTTATTGAGCGAGTACTCTTAGAGAGACATAAGAGGGAGGGAATGAAGCAGGCCAGGGCAGGGAAGATGCTAAGCATGAAGTGGTCTCAGCTGGGGTCTGACTTCAGCCTGATCCAGGGGAAGCTCTGGGGTGTGGATCGGCCACTGAGCTGTCCCCCGTTGGGGTAAGCAGGACAGATTTTTTTGCACCTCTGTGTCAATTACTTTTTGGGGGAGATCTTAGCAATAGCTGGTGGGTGGGTGCAGTGGCCAAGGAGAGGAATCTGGGCAGGGCACCAACAGAATCCGTTACAAGGGTCCTTCTCCCATTTCTGCGTGATACGCAGACCTACTACGGTCTCAGGTTGCCAACTTGGAGGCTATAGGGGGAGAACAGATGGAATTTAGGAGGGTCCATAGTGCTGGTCATCAGGGCACTCTGGCAGGGGCAGTGGTGAGGTACTGCCCCCAAGTGGCTTCTAAGGCCATAGCTCTCTAGGAGGGGACCCGTGCTAAGCAGATGTAAGATATCCCAGTTATTCAGAAATAACTGGGATAAATCGAGGGGCCCTGGAGCACCCTTAGTCTGTGGACGGGGGCAAAAGCCCATAAAGTGTGTTTTCCCTGTTAATGCCACCTCATTTGTGTCCATAGGATGGAGAAACCTGGAGGAGCTCGGGGCACATATGGGAACAGCCTTTGTTGACTCTAAAGTGTAGGATGATTTCCAAGGCCATGTACCTGATCAGCTGGAGGTAGTTCCCATCCTGTGGAAGACATGCATCCCAACCTGGCTATGGCCCATTGATCGGTTCATGAAGAAGGGAAACCAGGCAGGAGGGGATGGCAGTTTGGTGCAACTGGGGTCCTGCAGCCTGCCATGTCCTAGAATAAGAGGCAATGATATTTATCTTTGCTGAGATGAGTTGCAGAAAAAAAGCACTTAAAACTTGCCTATGGTGTCAGTGTGAAACGGTACAAGAAGGAGGGAATCGTTGGGGGCCATATTGGCTGATGACCACAGGGGTTAATGCAGCCATGCCTCCTCTGTTACACACACACACACACACACACACACACACACACACACACGGAACCTTGAGATTCTGGTGCACTGAGTCCTGAGGATCCCTGGAGGAATCTGTGTGGCGGCTGCGGGGCCAGTGGAGCTGTAACAGTGGCAGTCGCTGCAGAAGACTGCACTATTCATCAAGGGTCTGGGCAGAGGAGCAGTGGTCAAGCTGGAGTGGTCTGGTGTGCGGCGTGGCTTGGTGCAGGTTAGTTAGACCTGATGCAGGGGCCTTCCCTTGGTGATGAGGTCTTCATTTTTATGTGCCCTAAAACAAGGGCCCAGGACCCTCCAGGCAGCCTCTCAGCTAGTGTGTCAAGGATAAAATGAAGAGTGATGTAGAAGTATTTTGATGAGGAGACATCTTCAAACCTGAGGACTTGTCCTTTTCTCAGCCTGGAGTCTCCCTGGCAGGGGAAGGAGTGTGTGTGGGTCTCCTCTGTGCCATGAAGCCAAGGCAATGCCAGTCCCCAAATTGTGGTCACATGAGGCCTCTCCTGCCTCCCAGGTCAGGGAGTGGGACTCACCGTTCATCTATTAAGGAACTTTAGTATCTGGCCATGTGCTTTATGAACAGGTCACTCCATCTGAGCTTGCAGGGAGTTCTAATTTCTGGGCTCTTCCCTAAGGAGCTGGCTCCTAGGCTGAGAGTATAGGTCCTCAGACCCCAGTCCTTCCCCTATGCCACCAGCTCAGTCTCTAGTCTGGAAGACTTAGGGGTATGGGGGTGTACCCCTTTCCTATTTCTATGAGCTGTTCTTGGGGATGGAGGGAAGCAGGACATATCCATATCCTCCAGTTCTCAAAGGCAGCTTGTGCTTCCATAGAGGAATTTTGGACTCTCAATACATGGATTTTATTTTTATTATTTTTTTAAGAGACAATGTGACAGCAAGAATCAATGTTGCTTTAACAACCCACATACTCAATTATTTGACTACCTCTCTCTGACTTGATCATCTGTTTTGGAACATTGTAAACCACTCTTGGAGTCTTGCTTTGTCACCCAGGCTAGAGTGCAGTGGCATGATCATAGGTCACTGTAACCTCAAACTCCTGGGCTCAAGTGATCCTCCTGCCTCAGCCTCCTGAGTAGCTGGGACTATAGGGGTATGCCACCATGCCTGCTAATTTATTTTTTTATTTTTTGTAGAGACACGGGCTCTCACTGTGTTGCCCAGGCTGCTCTCGAACTCCTGGCCTCAAGCAATCCTCCTATCTTGGCCTCCCAGAGTACTGGTGTGAGCACGGTATCTGGCCAACAAATGAATTTTGAGTAGGGACCCCCCTGCTTCTTTTTCATCATCAGAGCCCACTTTTCTTGGTGACTGGTTAAGAGATGAGGATGAGATGGGAAAGAGAGGCACTGGCCCTTTAAAGGGGAAGCCAAGGTTTGTAGCAAAGTGCAAATTGCATGCAAATGGATCCGCAAAAGAGACTTGGGACCCAGGGACAGCTGGCTTGGATGAACCAAAGGGTTTTTGTGCCAGTTTGCCCAGCCCTGAGTCATGGTTCCCTGCTGGATGTGAGAAGAGGCACTACAGCTCCAGAATTTCTATAAAGGAGGCTCTGGGATTGGGGGTGAGGCACAATCTGGCTGGGAAGGTGAGAAGCTGTGGAAAGTCACCCAACTGCCTGGGAGCCACGCACTTTTTACTAACTGTATGTTTTCAGCGGATGGCTTTGACTCTCAACTTCCTCTCTAATCTGTCAATGTGACAGCAAGAACCAATGTCACTTTAACAACCCCCATGCTCAATTATTTGACTACCTCTCTCTGACTTGATCATCTGTTTTGGAATTTTGTAAACCACTCCTCCCTTCTTGCCCCTTTACCACCTGAGTTCAACTGTTCTTTTTATGCCTGATGGAATTTGACATTCTTTCCATGTACTTGCCTGGTCCTATTGTCCCAACGACCAATGCAGACCTCCTCCTGGAGCTCCAGGCTGAAGTAGCCCGGTGTCTCCTAAACAACTCCTGTGGTTGTCTCCCAGGGACAGCAAGCTGAGCAGATCTGAAATGGAACTCATTCATGGTCCTCCAACACTCAGTTCTCTGCAACCAGTATCCGCCATTACAATAAAATGGTGACCCCATCCAACCAGTGGACAAGCCAGAAGGCTGAGGTCAGCTTGGACACCTCCCTTACCCTCATGGCCCTCATGCAATCTATCTCTAAGACGAGTCCTCTTGTCTCAAAGCTCTTGTCTGACACCTTGACTACTTCAGTGGCCCGTAACTGGTCTCCCTGCTCCCTCTCTTACTATCCTCCCAGCCCTCCATCCTCATCTCCTCCAGTCCGCATTCAGAAGTCACGTGTCTCTATTCTGATGCAATTGTCTATCTGTATGACACTGGAAAACTTGCTGCCTTAGTTCTCTATTGGTCAAAGTTGGTCTGCAGACTTGCCAAAGACCAGAACAGATGAGTTTCTGGGGTGTCATGACCCCAGGGCACCAGCTGTGTTCTGGATAGAGAGAATCCCACAGTGGGGTAGGGAGGCCCCTAGGGTCCAGGAACTGCAGTGTAAGCGGTCGCAGCAGTTCTGCTCCCCCTTGGAGTCTTCAGCTTCCAGGTCTTTGCAGCCTGCCTGAGACTTCCTGCCATCAAGAAGGAAGAAGTGTTTGCAACCCACAGCCAAAACTTATGTCTGTTCTGATTCCTTTCCCCTTCTCCCCACATACCAAAATAGGCTTACTCCTTTCTCAATCCAGAACTTCAAACCCAACCCAGTCTTCAAACCCAACCGAGGCTGTCACCACTGTGAATGTTCATGTATTGATTTAAAAAAAAACTTTAAATTTTGAAATTGTTAGAAATTCACAGAATTGCAAAGATAGTACAGAGAGGACCCATGAACCCCTCACCCTGTTTCCTTCAAAGATTACATCTTAATTAACTATAATATAACACCCAAACTGGGAAGTGACATTGATACAATGTGTGTATAGTTCTATGTTATTTTATCACTTGTGCAGGTTTGTGTAACCACCACCCTGCCAAGATCCAGAACTGTTCCATCACCATCAAGATCTCTCTCTTGCAACTCCTTCAGTCTCACCCTCCTCTCTCCCCACCATCCCTAAGCACTGGTAACCACTAATGCGTTCTCCATAGTTTTGTCATTTTGAGAATGTTATATAAATCGAAGCATACAGTATGTGACCTTTCGTGATTTTCTTTTCCCCACTCAGATTCGTGCCCTTGAGATCCATCCAGGTTGATGCATGTGTCAATAGTTTAATTTTGGGTGGTAATCTCTGGTGTAAATATACCACAGTTTGTTCAATCATTCACTTATTGTAAAACATTTTGGTTGTTTCCATTCTGGTACTTGTGTGGCCATAGCCCTATTTCTCTGGGATAAATGCCCACAAGTGCATTGCTGGGCTGTATGGTCACTTTATGTTTAGTTTTTAAAGAAACTGCTCAACCATTATCCGGAGTGGCTCTATCATTTTATATTTTCACTAGTAATGGGTGAGAGATTCAGTTCCTTCACATCCTCTCAAGTATTCGATATGTTCACTATTTTTAATTTTTAGCTCTTCTAATAGGTGTGTAGGGATATATCATCATGGTCTTAATTTGCATTTTCCTAAAGACTAATGATGTCGAGGATCTTTTCATGTGCTTATTTGCCATTGTATAGCCTCTTCGATAAAATATCTCCTCATATCTCTTGCCTATTTTCTAATTAGATTATTTGGTTTTTTTTTAACTGTTGAGTTTCGAGAGTCTTTCTATATTCTGATACACATCCTTTGTCAGATACGTGGTCTGCAAATATTTTTTCCTAGGTGTAGCTTGTGTTTTTATCTTCTTAAGAGGGCCTTTTGTAGAGAAAAGTTTATTCATTTTGATGAATTCCAATTTATTGATTTCGATGTTGTGGGGACAAGAGAGGCTTTATTTTAAATGCTAATCCAGTGACTAACCACAAGTCCGGGAATGCCTCCAACATGTCTAGCTGATGTATTACTCTTTATGTGGAAACACCTAATGATTGTAAGTTTCCTCCAAAACAGCTCTTGATGCTGTTGCAGAAGTCATAGGCTGTGACACTCATAGCCAACTACACATTCCTTTCAGAGCACGTATACTTTTCCCCCAAGATGTAAGCCCCCTGCCTGGGGAGGTGTGGTGTAGAGATCTACCTGTCTTGTGGTGGCCCAAGACCAGACTTCTGTCTATAAGTTGCCCCTAATAAGCCACCTTATACTGACAAATGGGATTTGCCTGCCTCCTTCTTTGGTTTCTTGGCTTCTTTGGCATTTGAGGACTGCTTTGCATGTGCGGCCCTTTCATGGAACAGGTGTCATGTATAAGAACTCTTCACTAAGCCCTAGGTCCTGATGATTTTTATGTTTTCTTCTAAAAGTTTTATAGTTTTATGCTTTTTTTTTTTTTTTTTTTTTTTTTTTTGGTGAGACGGAGTCTCGCTCTGTCACCCAGGCTGGAGTGCAGTGGTGCGATCTTGGCTCACTGCAAGCTCCACCTCCCGGGTTCATGCCATTCTCCTGCCTCAGCCTCCCGAGTAGCTGGGACTACAGGTGCCCACCACCACGCCTGGCTAATGTTTTGTATTTTTTTTTTTAGTAGAGACCGGGTTTCACAGTGTTAGCCAGGATGGTTTCGATCTCCTGACCTCATGATCTGCCTGCCTCGGCCTCCTAAAGTGCTGGGATTACAGGCGTGAGCCACCGCGCCCAGCAGATATAATTCTTCTTTAGCCTATTGATATGATGAGTTACAGTGATTTATTTTTAATACTGAACAAGCCATTAATACCTGGAATAAGCCTCATCTGGTTATAATCTCTCTCTTTAATATGTTTATTATACATAATGTGTATATGTGTGTATTTTAGTATATTGCTGAATTCTATTAGTTAATATTTTGTTAAGGACATTTTCATCTGTATTCATTGGGGATATTGGACTATGGTTTTCTTTTTTGTACTTTGCCTTGTTTTGGTATTAGAGTAATATTGGCTACATAAAATGAATTAGGAAACATGCTTTCTTCTTCTATTTTCTGGAAGAGATTGTGTAGAACTGGTGTTAATTTTTCTTTAAACATTTGGTATAATTCGCCAGTGAAATCATCAGGGTTGAAGATTTCTTCTTTCATTTTAATAGTCTTAAAAATTTGAATTCAATTTTCCTTAGAGTGAAAGGGCTACTCAAATTATTCACTTCATATTGGGCAAATTGTGCTTGTTTGCGGTTGTTGAGGAATTTGTCAATTTCATTGAAGTTGTTAAATGTATGTGTGTAGCGTTGGTAGTATTATCTTATTCTTTTTTTAATGTCTTTGGGGTGTTCAGTGATAACAACAGATACCTGTTTCTTTCCTGAAATTCGTAACTTGTGTTTTCTTTCTTTTTTCTTTTGTCAGTCTTGCTAGAGGTTTGTCCATCTTATTGATCTTGTCAAGGAATCAACTTTTTGTTTTATTGCTTTTCTATATTGTTTTCTGTTTTTACTTTCATTGATTTCTGCTCTTATTATTTCCTGATTTCTGCTGAATTTGGGTTTATTTTGCTCTTCTTTTTCTAGTTTCTTGAGATGGGAGATTAGATTATTGATTTGAGTTTTTTCCTCATTTCTAATGTAAACATTTAGTTTCACAAATTCCCCCTTAACACTGTTTTAAGTGTGTCCCACACATTTTGGTACGTCGTATTTTCATTTTCATTTAGTTCACTGTATTTTTTTTAATTTCCCATGAGCCTCCTCTTTAACCCAAGGATTAAAGTGTATTGTTTTATTTCCAAGTGTTTGGAGATTTTCCTGTTACCTTTCTGTTATTTGTTCCATGTGGTCAGAAAACACAGTATGATTCAATTCTTCTACATTTGTTGAGGTGTATTTTATGGTCCAGGATATGGCCTATCTTGATATATGTTCCCTGGGTGCTTGAAAAGAATGTGGTTTCTGCTATTTTTGGGTGGAGTGTTCTATAAATGTCAGCTGGATTCTGTTGTTTGATGGTATTGTTGGTGTCTTCTATATCTTTGCTGATTTTCTGTCTGGTTGCTCTATCAATTGCTGAGAGAAAAATGAATTCTCCAACTACAATAATGCATTTGTCTATTTCTCTTTTCAATTTGATCAAGTTTGGCTTCACATATGTTGCAGCTCTGTTGTTTTGTGCATACACATTTAGGATTGCTATGCCTTCTTGGTGGATTGACCATTTTATCATTGTAGAATGGCCTTGGTAATTTTCTTTGCTCTGAAGTCGCGTTGTCTGACATCAATATAGCCACTCTCGCTTTCTTTTGATTTATGTTTGTGGTGTAAAACTGATCTTTTTAATTTTTAAATTTAAATTTAAATTTTTATTTAGAGACAGGGTCTCACTCTGTCACCCAAGCTAGAGTGCAGTGGCACAATCATAGCTCCCTGCAGCATCAAACTCCTGGGCTCAAGTGATCCTCCTGCCTCAGCCTCCCAAATGGCCAGGATTACAGGTGTGAGCCACCACGCCTAGCCATCTTTTAACTTTCAATTTACCTATATTGTTACATTTGAAATGAGTTCTGTGTAGATAGCATATAGTTGGGTCATGTTTTAAATCCTCTCTGTCAATCTCTGTATTTTAATTGGTATGCTTGGGTAAATTTATATTTAATGGAATTATTTATATGTTAGGAATTAAGTCAGCCATTAAATTTTTAAGTTTTCTATTGTTCTCTTTGTTTTTTCTTTCCTGCCTTTCTACGGGACACTTGAATGTTTTCATTCATTTTGATTTATCGATAGTGTTTGTGAGTGTATATCTCTTGTATACCCTTTTCAGTAGTTGTTCTAGATATATAGCTATCTATATTTATATCTGTCTATTCAAATATCTATCTATATTCGTATCTCTGTCTCTGTATGTATTCGATTGTGGTCAGAGAACACACTCTATGTGATTTCAAATCTTTCAAGTCACACTATCTATGAGTATTAACATTTAACTAGTTCAAGTGAAGTGTAAAACCTACCTTCCTAACATCGCATTACTTTCTTCCATTTCTAATATAATTGTCTTAAATATTTATATTTGTTGAGAACCACATCATACGGTGTTATAATTTTTGCTTTATTTATTTATTTATTTTTTGAGATAGAGTCTTGCCCTGTCACCCAGTCTGGGGTGCAATGGTGCGATCTCACGATCTCGGCTCACTGCAACCTTCGCCTCCCGGGTTCAAGTGATTCTTCTCCCTCAGCCTCCCGAGTAGCTGGGATTACAGGTGCATGCCACCATGCCCAGCTAATTTTTTATATCTTTAGTAGAAATGGGGTTTCACCATGTTGGCCAGGCTGGTCTCAAACTCCCGACCTCGTGGTCCGCCTGCCTTGGCCTCCCAAAATGCTGGGATTATAGGCATTAGTTACCACGCCCGGCCTTTTTTTTTTTTTTTTTGAGACGAAGTCTCACTCTTGTCGCCCAGGCTGGAGAGCAATGGTGCGATCTCGGCTCACTGCAACCTCTGCCTCCCGGGTTCAAGTGATTCTCCTGCCTCAGCCTCCCAGGTAGCTGGGATTACAGGTGTGCACCACTACGCCCAACTCATTTTTGTAATTTTAGTAGAGACGGGGTTTCACCATGTTGGCCAGGATGGTCTTGAAGTCCTGACCTCAGGTGATCCGCCCGCGTTGGCATCCCAAAGTACATTTTTTACTTTAACTGTCAAACATAATTTAGAAAAATCAAGAGGCTCATGCCTGTAATCCCAACACTGAGAGGCCGAGGCAGGAGGACTGCTTGAGCCTAAGAGTTCAAGACCAGTCTGGGTAATATAGTGAGACCCCATCACTGTATCTAAAGAAGAGGCCTGGCACGGTGGCTCATGCCTGTAATCCCAGCACTTTGGGAGGCCGAGGCAGGTGGATCATGAGGTCAAGAGATCGAGACCATGCTGGCCAACGTGGTGAAATCCCGACTCTACTAAAAATACAAAAATTAGCTGGGCCTGGTGGCGCGTGCCTGTAGTCCCAGCTACTTGGGAGGCTGAGGCAGGAGAATCGCTCGAACTCGGGAGGCCAAGATCACGCCATTGCACTTCAGCCTGGCGACAGGGCAAGACTCCATCTAAAAAAAAAAAAAAAAAAGAAAGGAAGAAAGAAAGAAAGAAAACTCAAGAGGATAAGGAAAGTCTGTTGTATTTATCCATATTTTTGTGCTTTTCATTGTTCTTTCTTCTTTACTGTTGTTCTAAGATCCTTCATTCAGCCAGGTGTGGTGGCTCACGCCTGTAATCCCAGCACTTTGGGAGGTCGAGGCTGGTGGATCATGAGGTCAGGAGTTCGAGCCCAGCCTTGCCAATATGGTGAAATCCCGTCTCTACTAAAAATACAAAAAATTTAGCCGGGCATGGTGGCGTGTGCCTGTAGTCCCAGCTACTCAGGAGGCTGAGACAGAAGAATCGCTTGAATCTGGGAGGCAGATGTTGCAGTGAGCTGAGATTGCACCACTGCACTCCAGCCTGGTGACAGAACGAGACTCTGTCTCAACAAAAAAAAAAAAAAAGAAAAAAGAAAAATTCCTTTGTTCATCATTTCCTTTCTGTTTAGACAACTTCTTTTTAGTCATTCCTAAATGGCAGGTGCTGACAACAAATTCTCCTGGTTCTCCTAATCTGAGAACATCTGGATTCCCGTCATTCTTGAATAATCTTTTTACTGGATATAGAATTCTGGGTTGAGAGTTCCTTTTTTTCTTTTCAGCACTAGAAAAGAAATGTGCCACTCTCTTCTGGACTTTAGGGTTTCTGATAAGAAATCTGACGTCTTTCCAATTATTTTTCTCCTGTAGGCAATGCGTCATTTCTCTCTGCTTTCAAGACTTTTTTTTTTTTTTTTGGCTTTAGTTTTTAGAAGTTTGGCCAAGATATGTTTTGATTTGAACTTCTTGGGGTTTATCCTGTTTGAGTTTCACTTAGCTTCCTGAATCTGTCGGTTCATGTCTTTTGTCAAATTTGGGACATTTTTAGCCATTATTTCTTCAAATACTTTTTCAAATGTAGATCCTTTCACCTCTCCACCTGGGTCTCTAGTGACACAAATGTTAGATCTTTTGTTACAGCCTCACAAGTCTCTTGGGTTCTGTTCATTTTTTTCTCTACTATTTTCTCTCTGTTGCTTGGATTGGGTAATCTTATTGTTCTATTTTCAAGTTCACTAATTCTTTATGCTGTCATCTCTATTTTGCTGTTCAATCCATCCATTGAATTTTAAATTTTGTTGATGTATATTTTGGTTCTAAAATTTCCATTTAGTTCTTTTTTTTTTTTTGAGAAGGAGTCTTGGTCTGTCGCCCAGGCTGGAGTGCAGTGGCGCAAACATCTCGGCTCACTGCAAGCTCCACCTCCTGGGTTTAAGGGATTCTTCTGTCTCAGCCTCTTGAGTACCTGGGATTAGAGGCAGGCACCCCCACGCCTGGCTAATTTTTGTATTTTTAGTAGAGATGGGGTTTCCACCATGTTGGCCAGGCTGGTCTTGAGCCCCTGACCTCAAATGATCCACCCGTCTCAGCCTCCCAAAGTGTTGGGATTACAGGCATGAGCCACTGTGCCTGGCCTCCATTTGGTTCTTTTTTATGTCTCCTGTTTCTTTGCTGAGACCCACGACTTTCTGTTCCTTTGCTGAGACTTTCTATTTTTGTGTGTTTTTTTCAAGGGTTTGTAGTTGCTCATTGAAGCATTTTCATGATGGCTGCTTTGAAATTCTTGTCAGACAATTCTAATATCCATGTCACCTAGGCACTGGTGTCTGTTGATTATTTTTCCTAATTCAATTTGAGGTTTTCTTGGTTCTTGGTTTGATGAGTCATTTTCAACGGAAACCTCAACATTTTGAGTTTCTGTTGTGAGACCTTGGAGCTTCTTTAAATCTGATTTAGCAGAGGCCTCCTCTGACTTGCTCTAGGGAAAGGGGCTGCTACTTTGTTCCTGTCAGGTGAGGTGAAGGTCCAGGTTCCCCACTCTGCCTCTGTTGACAGTCAGGGTCAGGGAAGGAGCGCCTCATCACTGTTGGGCAGTGGGTAGGGTTCAGGCTTCCTACTAGGTCTCCATCGACAACACCCTGGCTGGGAGGGGCAGAGTTCCCTTGTCACTGCTTCACATGTGACCTCCACTGATACTGTGGGGAAGCAGGATAGCCTTGTTACCGTTTGGCAGTTGCGAAAGTCCTGAGTCTCCACCAGGCTTCCTCTGAGACCACTGGAGAGGGGGCGGGGGAGAGGAGGGGGGCGGGGGAGAGGAGGGGGGCGGGGGAGAGGAGGGGGGCGGGGGAGAGGAGGAGGGCGGGGGAGAGGAGGAGGGCGGGGGAGAGGAGGAGGGGTGCTCCGTTACCACCAGCTGGGAATGAAAGTCCAGGCTTCCCATGTGGTCTCCACTGACACCCCTGGGAAGGGAGACCTCATTGCTGCCCAGCGGGATAAAAGTCCTGGCTTCCCACCCAGCTTTTTCTGACACTAGCCTGGCCAGGGGGAAGGAGATTGAAACCTCATGATAGCCTGAAGCCGTGAAGTCCAGCCTGAGCCTAGCCATGAAGCCGAGGCTCCCCACTCAGCCTTTGATGGTGCGGGTGGGGGTGGGGTCTTACATTTTTTCCTATGGTATTTGGCTGGCACAGAACGATCATTGTCTAAAAGTTTTCTGTTTTGCTAGGCCACTCCATCTTGGTCCTTTGGCAAGCAGAGCAGGATTTTCTTGGGCTTTTGTGGGGCATCTATTCCCATTGTTGTTTCCAGAATGCTGGCTTCTTTGCACACTGTCTGGGATATATGAGCCAAAAAGATAAACCCAGAGAACTCATTGCTGTGTCATTCCCTAGGCCCCAAAGTCCCTAGCTGGTTTGCCTTCTTCTCTCTGCTTTCAGATGCTTGTTTTATAGGCAGTATCTAGGGTTTTTAGCCATATTTACTGGAAAGAATAGGAAAAAACACATCTACTCCATATTTCTGAGAGTTGAGGTGTCATAGGTTGATTTAACCATGCCACTGATGCCTTTAGCTCTATCTGCCATGCAGCAGGTATCTTCTAGGTCCTTCATGGGGACCAGGCACTAGTTGAGGCCAAAGAGGAGACAAAGACTGACTCTGACTTCAGGAGCTCACAGTTTTGCGGGAACACAGGACTTTGCCCCAGGTAAGCTTGGATAGTGAAGAATAAGATGCTATAGAGGAAGGAATTACTTGAATGGCCTGGTTGGGGAGAGCTTCCTGGGAGGGTGAAAGTGGAGATAGAGTATTTTGGTAAATTTTAGAGAGGAGCTGCAGGAAGTACAGGTGCCAGGAGAGGAGCAGAGGTCCAGAGGGGTAAGTAGGGATGGCAGGAGGCAGCAGGGAGAGAGCTTGCCTGGTTGGGCCCTCAGGTGAAGCGAATGAGCCTGAAGGACACCATGCACAGGGGCTTGACAGTAGTATCTTCAGAACAGGAATCTGGGGATCAACTGTGACATGGCAATTGTGTGGGTGAGCAAAGATGGTGGCCTGGCCAGTGCAGTGGCTATGGGGTGGAGAGGAGAGAACAGGATCAAGAGGCATTTAGAAGGTAGAACTGATGGGTGTCTGGATTGATCTGGGGAAGAAAGAGAGAGGAATTAGATATGAGGCTGAGATTTCCAGCTGAGGTCTCTGGGGAAGAATGGTGCCATAAACACGCAGAGAGAGAAGACAGAGAGGGGAACCAATCTTTGGAATAAGAGGATGAGATTTTGGCCACTGGTACCCAGAGGCCCTTCTTCAGAGAATGATGCAATGAGACCGAGGTGAATATTTTCTCTGAGCACTGAAGTTTCAGATCAAATAAGCAACAGATTTCTGCTCTGTGAAAGCCCTGTAGTCGAAAGGCAGTACATTGCAAATTTCAAAGAATAAGGCACTATCCTCTACTTTTGAGAGAAAGAAATGGAAGTCACACGCCAAAAAGTTGAAGTCTCTCCTAGACTCAGATGTCCTCAGTCTTCATCACTCTCTCTGGGTCTGATGGTCAGGAGGCCTAATGCTCAAGCTGTAAGGCGAGGCTCCTTAGAACCACTTGAGTCACCTGTCCGAAGCTGAATTGCATGATGGCTTCATTCAGAGCCACCCAAATCATTCTGGCCAATCACGGGCAACTGTGGATGGTTCAATGGCACCTTCCTTTCAGAGAATAGAAGTCCCAGGAGGGCAGGGGTCTTTGTCTGATTTGTTCACTGAAGAATCCCAGGTGTCTAATAGGCTGCTGGTATATAGTAGATGCTAAATAAATACTGGTTAAATAAATGAAGGATTGCAATGGGTTTGGGGGAAGTCTGAGGCCAGGGTTAGGGGTCACACCAAGGTCAGGTTTTTAAAGTATAGGATCCCATTTTTGGTACTGAAACGTGGTTGGGGTATTTAGGGGTCTGCCTATTGGGACAAAGGTTTCTTGGAGGACATCGCACACCTCTCAACCTGAGGACTCCTTATGGGCTCAGGGGAGCAGCTACTGGCTGAGATTTTTAAAGCAGGGTCTCAGTCAGTGAAAGCCTGGCTTGCTTTCCCTGAAGAGAGCTATGCGCGTGCCTGGCCATGGGGCTCACAGCTGCCCCCTGGTGGTCAGCCACAGCCCCCTGCCAACCCTTGGGCGTGGTATTTTTCCAGCCTTAAGTCAGGCAGCAACGGCACATCCTAACGCAGGGTCCGTCTGGTTCCCGGGCCCCAGGTGGCGAGGGAACAGGAATGAGGGCTCTCCGGCACTCTCCGCTTTGCCCTTGGCCTCCTTTTTTCATCAGGGAAGACTCAGGGGAGGGCCTGCGCTGTGCCTCTCTTCAGCATCTGTGAAGATTCTGCCAGCTCCCCAGCCCCGTGCTCTCCGAGGGCATTTTTGTGCACGCAGGGCAGATTCCGGATTCCAAGAACATCAGTCATGGAATGACCTCTCTCCGGCCCCTTGGTGTGACCTCACTGTCTTGCCTCCTCCACCTGCACGTTCTTTGCCAGCCTGTAGGTCCTATCGTGGGGACTCCTCCCTGACCTCTGCCAATTTGAAGTGGGAACTCAGATGAGTGCCTCTGACTTTTTTTTTTTTTTTTTTTGAGACGGAGTCTCGCTCTGTCGCCCAGGCTGGAGTGCAGTGGCGCGATCTCGGCTCACTGCAAGCTCCGCCTCCTGGGTTCACGCCATTCTCCTGCCTCAGTCTCCCGAGTAGCTGGGACTACAGGCGCCCGCCACCACGCCCGGCTAATTTTTTTGTATTTTTAGTAGATACAGGGTTTCACCGTGTTAACCAGGATGGTTTTGATCTCCTGACCTCGTGATCCGCCCGCCTCGGCCTCCCAAAGTGCTGGGATTACAGGCGTGAGCCACCGCGCCCGACCGAGTGCCTCTGACTCTCACAAGGGCTCGTGTCTTCAGTTCCAGGCAGGCCCTGGAAGGGCATGGGGCAACATCTGGGGCGCCCCCACGGCTGCCTCTCTCTCCCCCCACGGCCCTGTGCCCCTCAGCAAAGCTTCTTCAGAACAGCTCTTTGGACAGCAGCTCTCAGGGCATCTGTAGCTGGTGCCAGCCTACACCCCCCATGCAGCTATCATGGACAGCGAGGGCATAGGCTCTGGCCATAGGACCCCACAACCAGCACCACCATGTTCTGAGTTAATGGTGGGAATTTATCTCCCAGCATGATCTGACATGGTCTGACAGCAAGCCCATGACATTCTGCCTCCATGGTGTGGACACCTGAGGCAGATGGGTTGTATGTGGGTGGGGAGATAGCCCCTTTCATCGCAGGCAGGAGGAACATGCTTAGGGTACTACGCTGTAGGGTCAGGTCTTTATGCTTCTCATCATGCAGAGCAGGCTTAGGGGCTGTGTCTGCAGCCCCTCCCTGATTCCCAGGGATGAAGAGATGGGGTAGGCTCTCCGCAGCTCTGGGGAAGTTTTATTCCCTCTTCTCCCCCTCTCTCTGCACTTCCTTCCCTCTCTTGTGTTCCATCTTAGTCCATTTCTGCTGCTATAACTGAATACCACAGACTGGGTAAGTTATAAAGAAAATAATGTATTTGGCTCACGGTTCTGGAAGCTGGCAAGGCCAAGAGCATGACGCTGGTGTCTGACTGATGAAGACTTCATGCTGCTTTATCCCATGGTGGAAGATATCACATGGTGAGGAAGCACATGTGTGAGACAGAAAGAAAACTGGCCAAACTCATCCTTTTATCAGGAAACCACTCCTGGGATAACTAACCCATTTGACTGATAACGGCATTCACCAACCTTTTAAAGGCCCCACCTCTCAACCCTGCTACAATGGGAGTTAAATTCCAACATGAGTTTTGGAGGGGACATTCAAACCATAGCATGTCCCCACCTGATCCATGCGCATTCTTTGTAGACCAGTGGTCCCCAAACTTTTTGGCACCAGGGATTGGTTTTGAGGAAGACAATTTTTCCTCAGACGGGGTAGGGGGGAGGGGATGGTTTTGGGATGAAACTGTTCGACTTCAGATCATCAGGCATTAATCAGATTCTCATAAGGAGCGTGCAACCTAGATCCCTCACATGCGCAGTTTGCAGTAGGGTTCGTGCTTCTATGAGAACCTAATGCTGCTGCTGATCTGACAGGAGGCGGAGCTCAGGCGGTAATGCTCACTCACTTGCAGCTCACATCCTGCTGTGTGGCCCAGTTTCTAACAGGCCATGGATCAGTACTGCGGGAGCTGGAGACCCCTGCTGCAGAGGATCTGACTCTTTTTGGCCCTGGGAGGGAGTGGTTCACAAAAGAAAAAGAAAATTACAATAGTCCCCCACCTTATTGGCAATTTTGCATTCTGCGGTTTCAGTTAGATGCTGTCAATCACAGATTGAAAATATTGAATGGAAAAATTCCAGAAATAAATAATTCATGTTTTGGCCAGATGGGGTGGCTCACACCTGTAATCCCAGTACTTTGGTAGGCTGGGACGGGCAGATCACTTGAGGTCAGGAGTTTGAGACTAGCCTGGCCAACATTGTGAAACCCCTTCTCTACTAAAATACAAAAATTAGCTGGGCATGGTGGTGTGTGCCTGTAGTCCCAGCTACTTGGGAGGCTGAGGCAGGAGAATCGCTTGAACCTGGAAGGCAGAGGTTGCAGTGAGCCAAGATTGCACCCTTGCACTCCAGCCTGGGTGACAGAGTGAGACTCAGTCTCAAAAAAAAAAAAAAAAAGAAAAAGAAAAAGAAAAAGAAAACCAAAAAACAAAATGAGCAACTCCCATTTTAAATTGCCTGCCATGCTGAGTAGAGTGAATCATCCCTCTGTCCAGCACGTCCATGCTGCATATTCTTCCCGCTCATTAGTCACTTGGTAGCTGTCTTGGCTGTCAGATCAACTGCTGAGGTATCGCAGTGCTTATGTTCAGGTAACCCTTACTTCATTTAATAACGACCCCTGGATGCAAAAGTGGTGATGCTTAACATCATCACAACATAATTATTATTAACAATAATAACTGAGAATAAAATAGAACAGTTGTTATAATTGTTCTATTTTATTATCAGTTATTATTGTTAACCTCTTAACTGTGCTTAATTTATGCATTATACTTTATGGTGGATATGTACATATAGAAAAATCCATAGTATGTATAGGGTTTGGTACTATCTGCGGTTTCAGGCATCCACTGGGGGTCTTGAATGTATCCCCTGCAAATAAGGGGGGGGACTAGCGTTTCTGTCTTCACCAGGCCTAGATGTGTCTTGCCTGCCGAGGAAAGATGTATAGTTAAGATGTGACAATTATCTGTCAGTTGGTGGAGTTTCACCCACTTAGTTGGTCTTCTTACTGTATTTTGAGATATCTTTATTTACAGGAGGCAAAATAGAGGTCCTGGGTCAGTCCTCAGCCCTCCACCCCCAGCCTTTATGCCTAGGAGACTTTGAGTTGATGGGGAAAGATGGTTTCTGCCCTTGGGGGACCCACACAGGGTCCTTAGTATAGAGCCTGGCGCTCCACAGGGACCCGGTATTGAATATGGGATGGAGAGGAGCAAAGAGATCCTGCCAGGGAGGTTGTAGGAAGATCAATGGGTCACAGAAGCTACAGAAGGGCACACAGTAAGGCCGTGAGAGTGGGTAAAAAGGAGTGTGGGAGCTCTCACCTGCTCTGTGCTGGGATGTGGGTACTGGTCTCCTGGGAGTGAGCAGTTGGGCCCTCACCCAGTTGGAGGGCCCAACCACAACCACGGCAAATCCCAAAGGCCAGGAACAGGGACTAATGTGGGGTCCAGGGATAAAAGCAGATTTCTGAGATACAGAAAGCCCAGGGTCTGGCCTAAGGGGCAGCTGATATGCCCAAGAGCAAGTTCAAGGGCAGAGCAAGTTCGAGTGTACTGCAGACAGCCTTGGGACAGGGACATCCAATTTCATGGGCCAAGGAGAACAGTGGAAAGTCCAGGTAGTCAGGAGCCCTTGAAAGTCTAGAGGGTGGTGGGCTTGGTTGGGATGTGGATGGACATATATATATATGTATATACATATATACACACACACCATGGTGTGTGTCTGTGTGTGTATATATATATATGTGTATATATATATACACACACATACCTGATATGTTATACCTGACATATGTTATATACATACATACATATACATATATACACACACATATATATATCTGATGGTTTTATATATATAGGGAGGTGTGTGTTTGTGTGTGTGTGTGTATATATATATGTGTATATATATGTGTATATATATGTGTATATATATGTATATATATGTGTATATATATGTGTGTGTATATATGTATATATGTGTGTATATATGTATATATGTGTATATATGTATATATATGTGTATATATATGTGTATATATATGTATATATATGTGTGTATATATATGTATATATATGTGTGTATATATATGTGTATATATATGTGTGTGTGTGTGTGTGTGTGTGTATATATATATATATATATATATATCAGTTTGCCCTTGCTGGATAACAAACCACCCCAGAACTTACTGGCTTAATGCATTAACCATTTATTATTTCTCTAGGCTTTTGCAATCAGATGCTGGGTTGGCTGGAAGCTGGCTGGTATAGCGTGGCCATGCAGCAGGCTAGTCTAGGCTTAGTCACATAGTGATTGCAGGGTTTCAGGAAAACAAATGAAAACATGCAAGATCTTATAAGGTCTTTACTTGGAACTGACAGACTGTCACTTCTGCCAAACTCTTTTGGTCAAACAACTCTCAAAGCCAAGCCTCACTTGAAAGAGTTTGGGAAAAAGTTCTGATTCTTTTGTTTGTTTGCTTTAGAGACAGGGTCTTGCTCTGTCACCCAGACTGGAGTGCGGTGGCGTAATCATAGCTCACTACAGCCTCGAACTCCTGGGCTCAAGCAGTCCTCGCAGCTCAGCCTCCCGAGTAGCTGGGACTACAGATGTGAGCCACAGCACCTGGCAAAGTTCTGCTTCTTGATGAGAGATGTTACTAAATCATATTGCAAAGGGAGGGGTGGAGAATTGCGGCCATTTTTGCAATCAATCTAACGCAACACCCACTTGTGAAAGACAGAAACCTGGGTGACATCCTGAGTCCTTCCTCCCACTTCTCCGACATCCGTTACCTCACCAAGCCAATTTGATTTTCACCCCCCAAAACGCCATTCAACTTTTCCTATTGCCACCACCCCAGTCCAAGGAACTTGTCTACCTGGTCTACTCACATTTGCTGTAGCTGTGCTCTACTATCGTGGCCACATAGCAGCCTATAGGACTTCTTCAAAGTACAAGCCAGGTCCCATCATTTCTCCCTGCCCATACCCTTCAAAGACTCTGTATTAGTCCATTCGCAGTTGCAAGCAGAAGAAACAGGCTCTGATTATGGCAAAAAAAAACACAAAAAAACAAAAAACCTAATGGAAGGGTATTGATTAGCTCACAGAATATCTTGAAGACTGGACCCAGAAATCACGCAGGCACCAAAGGTAGCAGCTGGATAGCCAAGACCACGATGAAAACCATGCTGCTGGAACATCTGGGGGACACTGTGGCCATCACCACCATGTAGCCAGGCCCCAGGATGCTGCTGCTGCCACCACTGCCAGGATGAATAGTTCACTGTCCTTGGCTTCTTGTATCACTCACTACAGGCTCAAAGAGCTGGGTGGAAGCATCTGATTGGCTAAGCCTCCAGTTTCCATTTCATTTCTGTGCTGACTCGGTCAGTGGAGGATTCCTAGGAATTCCCAGGATGAGGAAAGATGCTGGAAATTCAGTTGTTCTCAACCTTTACTGTGTTTTGCAGGTTCCCAAAGCCACTGGGGGCTGGGTGGGTATCTTCTCTGGCACATGGCATTTCTGCTGTAATAAAGGTTCTTTTAGTTAAAAGTCACAAACCCCTTATGGTGTAAGTGATAAGGTGGTGGGGATGGGACCTTTGTTTTTGCAAAGCTGTAAAGAGGAAAAAGTTAGTCTGGGCCCCTGAAGGAAAAGACATGAATCATTAAGTGAAGAGCATGGCTGAATCCCTGCGTCATCAGGGAGAAACCAGAGGAGGCAAATGTGTAAGAAAGATTCCCCTGGGCCTGGGAAGGGGAGCCGACAGAGGATCCCAGCTGCAGGAGGTCGGGCCTCAGGACCCCTTAGAACTTCATGGACTGTCCCAGCCAATGTGAAAACCCTGGGCCATGTCTGTTCTTACCCGGGAAAGAGGAGGAGAGAGGCTGGCTGGGGTCAGCAGTAAACCGATAGGGGACTGAAATGGACACTGTGGGTGCCTCGCCCAGACCCCTTTGCAGGATAGGGTGCATCTGCGGCTGCTGTGCCTGTTGGGTCACAGGGGCCTTCTCTCTTCTCTAGGGAATTGCCCTTTGCCCAGTGGGAGTCACGCCCACTCCCACAGCCTGCAGCCTGTGGATGACTGACATATAAGCCCTGCTGCCTTGCAACCAAGTGAATCTTATCTGAGGTGCCGCGACCCAGTGTCCTTGTGGGGTCAGCCAAGGCTAGATACATTTCTGCCCAGCAGTGGGGGTGACAGCGGCCTCTCCTACCATGCTGTGAAGGCGAGGGCAAGGGAAGCAGCTGCCAGGCTCCCGGGGCCTCCCTTATCTCAGCCCCTACCCACCCACCCAAGTCCAGAATCGGCCTCACACCTGCCCTGGATTCCACTTCCTCCCTGCTCTTGGGAGCCAGAGAAAAGATGTCCCAGGCCCGTTGACTCTCTTTCGCCCTCTCGTGGGCCCGCTGAGAACGGTGGTGATTCCCATAGAATTTTTCCCTAGGCTGCTTGTCCAAAAGCGGCCCGTTGGGACTTAGGAAAGGAGGGAGAAGGGATCAGGGTGATAATTCGTAGCTGGTGAGATTGAAGGTAGTTTTCCAAGCAAAGGGTTTGATGGTTTTTTTTTTTTTTTTTTTTGAGAGAGCGTCTTGCCCTGTTGCCCAGGTTGGAGTGCAGTGGTGCAATCATGGCTCACTGCAGCCTCAAACTCCTGGGCTCAAGCGATTCTCCCAAGTAGCTGGGACCAGAGGTGCGTGCCACCATGCCCAGCTAATTTTTAAATTTTTCGCAGAGACGGGGTCTCCCTGGGTTTGGTGGCTTTACTGGGGGGATGTTTGGTAGTCTTCCTTAGGAAACCTTGGCATCATGAAGGCTAGGCCAGGAAGCTGGTCTGAAGGGGCTGCTTGATGCTGTGACTGATTTCTGTGGCCTTGAGCCAGCCATCATGTCTTTGTCAAGTAGAGAGAATCAGACAAGGTCCTGTAGCCTGGAGGTAATGGGTGAACTTAAAGTGTAATTACACATTCAAGAGAGCTTCACCATCTCAAATCACACTGATCTTGCCGCCTATTAAACTTCCACCAGACTTCTCATTTTAGCTATGCAATCTTGTATTTGATTATCTATTTTCTTTCCTGTATATACTCCAGCCTCTTCCTATGGGTCTTTCTGCTTCCACACTGCACATTGCAACCAGAACTCACTCACTCAACACCATTTGGCTATGACACTAAAAAGCTTTCAAGAATTTCCCACTGCACTTACAGTAAAGTCCAAATTATGTTCCATGGCCCCCAAAGACCTGCACGGGCAAGGTGTGGTGGCTCACGCCTGTAACCCCAGCACTTTGGGAGGCCAAGGTGGTTGGTCTCCTGCCTCAGCCTCCCGAGTAGCTGGGATTACAGGCATGTGCCACCCTGCCTTGCTAATTTTTTGTGCTTTTAGTAGAGACAGGGTTTCACCATGTTGGCCAGGCTGGTCTCGAACTCTTGACCTCAAGTGATCTGCCTGCCTCGGCCTCCCAAAGTGGTGGGATTACAGGAGTGAGCCACCACGCCTGGCCTTGTGTGTCTTCTTGACTGGGCCATGGGGTGCCCAGGTATTTGATCAAACATTGTTCTGGGTATTTCTGCGAGAGTGCTTTTGGATGAGATTAACACTTAAATTGTTAGACCAAGTAAAGCAGATTGCTTTCCCTAATGTGAGCCCTCCTCCAATCAATTGAAAGCCTAAATTGAACAAAAAGGCTGACCCTCTCTTGAGTAAGAAAGAATTCCTCCTGCCTGATTGCTTTCAAACTGGGTCATCAGCTTTTTTCTTGCCTTTGGACGTGAACAGAAACATCAGCTCTTCCTGGGCCTTGAAACTGCTGGTCTTTGGATAAGAATTACACTATTGGTTCTCCTGGTTCTCAGGGCTTCAGACTTGGGCTAGAATGAAACCATCAGCCCTCTTGGGTCTCTGGTTTGCCAACTCACTCTGCAGATCTTGGGACTTGCCTATGTATAGGAGATATATATGTATATATGTATATGTATATCTCCTATTGGTTCTGTTTCCCTAGAGAACTCTAACACTCAATAGTATTCTCATGATTGGTTTAAATTAGTGCTGGCCAATAGAAATATAATGTGAGTCACATGTGTAATTGACAGTCTTCCAGTAACCATATTAAAAACATAAAAAGAAAGAGATGAAATTACTTTTAATAGTGTATTCTAGGCCAGGTGCAGTGGCTCACACCTGTAATCCCAGCACTTTGGGAGGCCAAGGTGGGCTGATCACCTGAGGTCGGGAGTTCGAGACCAGTCTGGCCAACATGGCGAAATCCTGTCTCTACTTAAAATACAAAAATTAGCTGAGCGTGGTGGTGCATGCCTGTAATCGCAGCTACTCGGGAGGCTGAGGCAGGAGAATTGCTTGAACCTGGGAGATGGAGGTTGCAGTGAGCCGAGATTGTGCATTGCACTCCAGCTTGGGCAACAAGAGCGAAACTACATCTCGAAAAAAAAAGTGTATTTTATTTAACCTAATATATTAAAAATATTATTATTTTGACATGAAACCGATATACACATGATTAAGTTACTAAATATTAAAAATATGCTGTGCATTTTATTCTAACAGCACATCTCAATTCAGACTAGTCACATATCAAATGCTCAATTGCCACACGTGGTTAGGGTCTATCATATTGGCCAGTGCACGTTAAGACCAATCAAGAAACATTACATGGGGCTGGGTGCAATGGCTCATGCCTGTAATCCCAGCACTTTGGGAGGCTGAGGCAGGCAGATCATTTGAGGTCAGGAGTTAGAGACAGACTGGCCAACATGGTGAAATCCCATCTCTACTTAAAATACAAAAATTAGCTGAGGGTGGTGGTACACGTCTGTAATCCCAGCTACTCGGGAGGCTGAAGCAGGAGAACCACTTGAACTTGGGAGACAGAGGTTGTAGTGAGCCGAGATCGCTCCACTGCACTCCAGCCTGGGCAACAGAGTGAGACTGTCTCAAAAAAGAAAAAAAAAATACGTTACTTAGGGCTGGATATATAAGTACCTTAAACAGAGTTGGAGCACTGTTAGTCAGGATATTGGGCATGAAATTAAGAGATGACACCCAGAAGTTCAATGTGTATTTGTTGATTGAATGAACACAAATTATTCCAAAATTGTCAATACCTCTAGACAATGAAAACTTCCTTTCTTCCTGTCTTCCTCTTTTTGCTCAATGTAACAAATGTAAGATTAATACTCACATACACACACACACACACGGCTGGTCAAGATGGACTGATTTATACTCCTACTTGAAACAACTAAAAACCTTGAAAAATGTATAAAACAATGGCTCTAAAGACATTGGACATTAGATACTGAAGGACAGTGATCCTAGAGAGATGGGAAAAAAATGAGTGAGCCCTACAATTGCCCCACCCTACTGCCTGGAGAGAATCTCCAGGCCATAATGCAGGGCAGTACAACCTGCCCAAAAACCTTAAAAGCAAGATCTGGAAGTATAAAACTGTTCCTAAGTAATCTAACCATATCTTAGAAAAAACTCAAGAAATTTTTAGACATGTGAAAATCAGAAAAACATTATTCACAAGAGGGAAAAATCAACTAAAACCAACACAGCAAAACACAGATAATGGAATTAGTAGACAAAGACATCAAAATCATTATTGTGACTACAGTTCATATGTTCAAGAAGATAGAGGAAAGCTCAAACATGATAATTAGAAACATAAAATATTAAGAAGATTCAAACCAAATTTCTAAGGATGAGCATTATAATGTCTGGGATGAAAAATACACGAGAGGATTCATGGAAGATTAGATATTACTGGAGAAAATATTAGTAAACTTGAAGACATAGAAATAGAAACTATCCAAAATAAAATGCACAGAGGAAAAAAAAGGCTGAAAATAAATGAGCAGATCATGAGTGAACTGTGAGATGACTTTAATAAAAAGTGTGTGCAATTGGAATCTCTAAAGATGACTGAGAAGAGGAGACTGAAAAGACATTTGAAGCAATAGTAGCCAGAATGTTTCCAAATATAATGAAAATTATAAACCCAGAGATCCAAAAGCCACAATAAACCCAAGCACAAGAGCTATGAATAAAACTATGCCAAATCGCACTATAATTAAATTTTTTAAAGCCGATGATAAAGAGAAAATCTTAAAAGTAGCCAGGAGGGGAAAACACACAAATAAACAAACAACAACACATAATGTATGGAGAAACATGACAGCAGATTTCTTCTTGGAAACAATGCAAGCTAAAAGACAGTGGATTAACATCTTTACTCAAAGAAAATAAATACATCTGTCAATCTAGAATGCTTCACTGTGTAAACACATTTTTGGAAACTAAAGAGAAAATAAAAACTTTTTTTTCAGGCATGCAGAAGTTGAAAGATTCATCAACCTCAGATCTGCACTATAAGAAATGTTGGCCTGGTGCAGTGGCTTACACCTGTAATCCCAGCACTTTGGGAGGTCAAGGTGGGCAGATCACAAGATCAGGAGTTGGAGACCAGCCTGACCAACATGGTGAAACCCTGTCTGTACTAAAAAATACAAAAATTAGCTGGGCGTGCTGGCAAGAGCCTGTAATCCCAGCTATTTGGGAGGCTAAGGCAGAAGAATTGCTTGAACTTGGGAGGTGGAGGCTGCAGTGAGCCGAGATCATGCCACTGCACTCCAGCCTGGGCGACAGAGTGAGATCTTGTCTCAAAATAAATAAATAAATAAATAAATAAATATAAAACGTTAAGGGAAGTTCTTCAGGCAGAAGGAAAATTGTGCCAGCTAGAAATGTTGATCTACGCAAATGTATGAAGGGCACTGGAAATAGTAACTTCTTGGGTAAGTGTAAAGACTTTAAAAATTATGATTTAAAAATTGTTTAAAGAAAAAATTTTTCTTTAAATAATAATTGACGGCCTAAAGCAAACTGATTAACAATTACTGTGGGATTCGTAACATATTTAGAACTAAATGCATGACATTACAGAGCATTGCATGTCATCACATTGCATTGCATCTTCTAAAACACTGAAGAGAAGAGACTACTTCCTAACTAATTCTATGAGGACAATATTATTATTATTATTATTATTATTATTATTACTTGTTGAGACAGGGTCTTCCTCTGTCATCCAGGCTGGAGTGCAATGGTGTAATCCTGGCTCACTGCAACCTCTGCTTCCTGGGCTCAAGCAATCCTCTCACCTCAGCCTCTCAAGTAGCTAGGACTACAGAAACACTCCACCATACCTGGCTATTTTTTGGTATGTTTTTGTAGAGATAGGGTTTTGCCATGTTACCCAGGCTGGTCTCGAAATCTTCAGCCCAAGTAATATGCCTGCCTTGGCCCCCCAAAGTGCTGGGATTACAGGCATGAGCCAACGTGCCTGGCCAAGACCAGTATTATTACTCTGTTGTTAAAATCAGAAATTGATATTACAAGGAAAGAAACCTACAAACCAGTGTTCTCCTGAATGTGGATGTAAAATTCTTATTGTAGTTTTAGCAAAGCAAATCTAACAATATATGAAAAGAGTAATATGGCTGGGCACGGTGGCTCACGCCTGTAATCCCAGCACTTTGGGAGGCTGAGGTGGGTGGATCACGAGGTCAGGAGATCGAGACCACCCTGGCTAACATGGTGAAACCCTGTCTCTACTAAAAATACAAAAAATTAGCCGGGCATGGTGGCGGGCACCTGTAGTCCCAGCTACTTGGGAGGCTGAGGCAGGAGAATGGCATGAACCCGGGAGGCGGAGAAAAAAAGAGTAATATATCATGACCAAATGGGATTTATCACAGGAATGCAACATTGCTCCAACATTGGAATAATTAATGTAGTTCACGACATAAATAGACTAAAAAAGAAAAAAAGGATCATTTCAATAGATGTAGAAAAATCATTTGACATAATTTCAAATCCATTTCTGGTAATACTCCCAGAAAACCAGGAAGAGAGGGGAAATTCTTCAACTTGATAAAGAGCATACATCTATGAAGAACCTTTAACTAATGTCATATTTAGTGGTGCATTCTCCCTCAGCTCAGGAGCAAGGCAAGAACGTGTGCTTATATTATTTCTACTTGAAATTGTATTGGAGGTGTATCCCATGCAAAAAGGTAAGAAAAAAAAGACATTCACATTGAATAGAAAGAAGTAAGACTATCTTTATTTGCAGATGATAAAGTCATCAAGTCATCTGATTGTCTAGAAAATCTTATGAAATTTCTACCTAGAAAATCTTATGAAATCTACAAAAAGCTACTAGAATTAATAAGTGGTTTAGCAAGATTGTAAGATACAAGATCACAATAAAAACATCAATTCATTTTATTTATTTATTTATTTATTTATTTATTTATTTATTTATTTTCAGATGGAGTCTCGCTCTGTCACCCAGGCTGCAGTGCAGTGGCAGGATTTTGGCTCACTGCAAGCTCTACCTCCCAGGTTCACGCCATTCTCCTGCCTCAGCCTCCCGAGTAGCTGGGACTACAGGTGCCCGCCACCATGTCCGGATAATTTTTTGCATTTTTAGTAGAGACCGGGTTTCACTGTGTTAGCCAGGATGGTCTTGATCTCCTGACCTCATGATCTGCCCGCCTCGGCCTCCCAAAGTGCTGGGATTACAGGTGTGAGCCACCACGCCTGGCACAAACATCAATTTATTTCCTTATACTAGCAAGGAATAATAGAAAATTGAAATGAAGCAAAACCATTTACAACAGCATGAGATACATAAAATACTTAAGAGCTAAATCTGACAAAAGATGTATGAGATATCACAATGAAAATTACTGATAGAAATTAAAGAAGATCTAAATAAAAGGAGAGATATAATGTGTTCATGGATAGCAAGACTCAATATTACAAAGTATCATTCCTTTCCAAATTGATCTGTAGATTCAATGCAATTCCAATCAAAATCCCAGCAGTCTTTTTTGGTGGAAATGTATAAGCTGATTCTAAAATTAACATAGAAGTGCAAAGGACTTGTAATAGCTAAAACCAGTTTGTAAAAGAAGAATAAAGTTGGATTTACACTACTTGACTTTAAGACTTAGAAACTGGCATTAATCAAGACAGTGTGAAATTGGCATCAAGAAAGAAAAACAGAACAATGAAACATAATACAGTACAGAAATAGACCTTCTCATATATGGCCGATTGATTTTTGACAGTGGTGCAAAGGCAATTCACTGGAGAAAGGGTAGTTTCTGTTTTAACAAACAGTGCATGAACATTTGTTTATCCATATACAGAAAAATGAACCTTTTATCTATACTTGGCACCATATAAAAATAAACTCAAAAGCGATCATAGACCTAAAACTATAAAACTTTAAAAATAAAACACAGGGGAAAATATTGTGATCTTGTTTCTGTTCTCTTTTTTTTGAGTCAGAGTCTCACTCTGCCACCGGGTCCAAGTGATTCTCGAGCCTCCGCCTTGCAAGTAGCTGGGATTATAAGCGCCTGCCACCATGCCCAGCTAATTTTTGTGTTTTTAGTAGAGACGGGGTTTCACCATGTTGGCCAGGCTGGTCTAGAACTCCTGACCTCAAACGATCGACCCATCTCGGCCTCCCAAAGTGCTAGGATTACAGGTGTGAGCCACCATACCCAGCCATAACTCCTGTTCTTTGAAAGGCACTTTTGAGAGAACAAAAAGACAAGCCACAAACTGGAAGAAGAATATTTGCAAGTTAAATAACTGATAAAAGATGTATGTTTAGAATATTTTTTAAAAAACCTTTTAAAACTCAATATTAAGAAAACCAACAACTTAAACAAAAATGGGAAAACATTCTTCACCAAAGAAGAGAAACACATGGCAAATAAATTCACACAAAGATGTTCAATGCTCAACATTACTAGTCATAGGGAAATGCAAATTAAACCACAATGGAATATTACTATAAACCTCTTCCCTTTTATTTATTTATTTTTTTGAGATGGAGTCTTGCTCTGTCACCCAGGCTGGAGTGCAGTCGCGTGATCTCGGCTCACTGCAACCTCTGCCTCCCTGGTTCAAGCGATTCTACTGCCTCAGCCTCCCGAGTAGCTGGGATTACAGGCATGCGCCACCACACCCGGCTAATTTTTGTGTTTTTAGTAAAGACGGGGTTTCACCATGTTGGTCAGGCTGGTCTTGAACTCCTGACCTCAGGTGATCCGCCCACCTCAGCCTCCCAAAGTGCTGGGATTACAGGTGTGAGCCACCGTGCCCGGCCCTTCTTCCCTTTGTGTTAGAAAGATCTGATGTCACCACCTGAACTTATTTCCTGGGGCTGCTGTAGCAAATTATTACAATAATTTAAACAATAGAATAAACAATAGGATTAAAACAATAGAAAAGTATTCTCTCCGTTCTGGAGGCCAGAGGTCTGAATCATTGTGTCAGCAGGGTTGGTTCCTTCTGGGAGCTCTGAAGAAGAATCAGTTCCATGCCTCTTTCTTGGCTTCTGGTGGTTGCCAGCGATGCTTGGCATTCTTGGCCTTATAGACACATCACCAGCCTCTGCCTCTGTCATCACTTGGCATCCACCCTGAACGTCTCTGTGTCTTGGTGTCCAAATTTCTCTCTTGTAAGGACAGTATGGGATTAGGCCCACCCTAATCCAGTATGATTTCATCTTAGCTTGATTATATCTGCAAAAACCACTATTTTCAAATAAAGTCACATTCACCGGTACCAGGGGTTTGGAATTCAGTTTATCTTTTGGGGGGACACAGTTCAACTCACAACACGACCTTAACTAATAATCGAACTTGCATCATTTATAGTCAGACAACCAAACATTATGAGCTTCCTGATGTGATACATACAACATGACGTCATAGTGCCACCTTTGTATTCTTGCCAAAAATGTTTAACCCATATCTAATGAAACTGTTTAAATGAACTTCCAGGTTACAGGGAATATACAGGGTAGAGGAGTAAGTTAAATGACACCATGATAAAGCAATCTGACAAGTCCAGAGTAGGGGGAATATTCTGCAAGACAACTAGTGTGCTGTCCTCAAAAAGTCTATGTCAAGCCAGAGGCAGTGGTGCCTGTAGTCCCAGCTGCTTGGGAGGCTGAGGTGGAAGAATTGCTTGAACCCAGGAGCTGGATGCTATAGTAAGCTATAATCAAGGTCTCTCTCTGTGTTGTGCCACTGCACTCCAGCTTTATCAACATAGTGACCTCGTCTCTCTCTATATATACAAAGTCAATGTAGTGTCATGGGTTAAAAAATATGTGATGTGCCTGTGTGTGATCAGCACTGTTTAACAGAAACAAAGTGAACCACAAATGTGAGTCATATACAGTATGTAACTTTTAATTTTCTAGTAGTCACATTAAAAAAGTAAAGGCCAGGTGTGGTGGCTCACGCATGTAATCTCAGCACTTTGGGAGGCTGAGGTGGGTGGATCACCTGAGGTCAGGTGTTCAAGGCCAGCCTGACCAACATGGAGAAACCCTGTCTCTACTAAAAATACAAAATTAGCTGGGCGTGGTGGCGCATGCCTGTAATCCCAACTACTCAGGAGGCTGAGGCAGGAGAATCACTTGAACCTGGGAGGCAGAGGTTGTGGTGAGCCCAGATCGCGCCATTGTACTCCAGCCTGGGCAACAAGAGTGAAACTCTGTCTCAAAAAAAAAAAAAACCAAAAATGTAAAAAGAAACTGGTTAAATTAGTTTTAATAATTGTTACTAATTTATTAATATTAAATTAGAATAAATAATTAACCTAGTGTAATAGTTTTTTTATTACTGCTGTCATAAACTTATTAGTAATTTGTTATCTTACGGTGCTATAGGTCAGAAGTCCGATACAGGTCTCATCAGACTAAAACCAAGGCGTGGTAGGCTGTGTTCTTTTCTGGAGGTTCTGGGAGAGAATCAATTTCTTGCTCATTTGGGTTGTTGGCAGAATTTACTACCTTGCTGAGGTCCTTGTTTTCTTGCTAGCTGTACGCTGAGGGATGTTCTTAGCTTCCAGAGACTGCTGTATTTCTTGGCTTCTGGTTTTCTTTCTTCATCTTTGAAGCCAGCAATGGCAGGTCAAGTACTTCTCAGGTTGCATCTCCCCGATACAGTTGGGAAAGGTTCATTGCTTTTAAGAACTCATGTGATTAGATTGGACCCACCTAGATAATTCAGTATAATCTCCCTATAGTAAAATCCTTAAACTTAGTCACAGCTGCAAAATCTATTTTGCTCTGTACAGTAATATATTCTCACACGTTCTAGGGATTAGGGCATGGACATCTTTGGGGTGCATTATTCTGCCTCACCCTCAATATATCAAAAAAATTTTCAGTTCTATATGTAAGCCATAAAAAATTTATTAATGAGCTATTTTACATTACTTTTTGTGAGTACTAGTTCTTTGAAATTCATTGTGGGTTTTATACTTATGGCACATCTCAGTTTGGATCAGGCACATTTCAAGTTCTTAATAGCCACTAACCACTTGCGGCTTCTGTATTGAATGGTCCAGTTCTAGATTAAAGGACACAAAAGAGACAGAAACCTGATACAAACAATAATTAGATTTTGATTTAAGAAAATACAAATCAAAACAATGTAGCTACATAAGACATTTTGGAAACAACTGGGGATATTTGTATATAGATTTAAATAATCAGCACCACTTACTGTTAATTATTTTAGCCGTGGTATTGGCCTTGACGTAGGAGGATGTTGAGAGTTTTAGGAGATGTGCATTGCTGTGATCACCCCACAGATGTGGGATAGATCTCCCCTAACCCACGTGAAATTTGGTTTGGATGTTGAGACTGATGATGCTATCTGCACACCGAGAAGGCATGAAAAGATTTGTGACTCATGTAATGAGCCATTCTGGGGAGAGTACAGCAGGTTCCTAAACAGGCCCCAAAGTAGCTTGAGAATGCAGACAGGGGCAGCTGGCCTGGCTTTGTGTTTGGAAGGGAGGCTGGGGTGAGGGCCCCTACCCATGGGCTGGGTTTGTGTGGGTGAAACTATCTGCCAGCAGCAAGGGAGGGAGCAGCTGGGCTTTTTTATTGGTTTGTCCAGCTATACGGCAAGAGGGGAAAAGGGAGGGATGGGGCTTGACAGCTGTCAGCAGTTAATCATCAAAAATGGAGTCAGAATTGGCTGGGCGCGGTGGCTTACGCCTGTCATCCCAGCACTCTAGGAGGCCGGGTTGGGAGGATCACCTGAGGTCAGGATTTCGAGACCAGCCTGACCAACATGGAGAAACCCCGTGTCTACTAAAAATACAAAATTAGCCGGACGTGGTGGCGCATGCCTGTAATCCCAGCTACTTGGGAGGCTGCGGTGGGAGAATCACTTGAAGCTGGGAGGGGGAGGTTGCAGTGAGCCGAGATCGTGCCATTGCACTGCAGCCTGGGCAACAAGAGTGAAACTCCGTCTCAAAAAAAAAAAAAAAAAAAAATGGAGTCAGACTCATTACAGTTCACCCCGATGCTCGACTGCTGACTGAAAGGTGCCATGTTTCATTTGATTTCATTTGAACTTGTTTAAGTGAACCATTATGGTGCCCTATGAGACCTTGAGTCTGAGGCCAATAAAGGAGGTGAAAGTTCTGTTAAACATCTTTTCCAAGAGCCCAGTATTCATTGTCAAAATTAAAAATGTTTGTGCTTCAAAGGACACCAGGAGCAAGTGAAGACACAGCCTACAGAATAAAAAAATTTTTTTTTGCAATTCATATATCCGATGATGGACTTGTCTCTAGACAAGTCCTCTAAAGAACTTTTTCAGTTCAATAATAAAAAAAAAATAGCCCCATCAAGAATGGGTACTATTGCAGAGTAAAAAGACAACTGACAGAATGGTAGAAAATATCTGTAAATCATATTTGATTAGGTTGTAATATCCTGAATATATAAAGAACACCTACAACCCAACAACAAAAAGACAAACAACCCAATTTTAAAAATGGGCAAAGGGCTGGGCTCGGTGGCTCAAGCCTGTAATCCCAGCACTTTGGGAGGCCGAGGTGAGTGGATCACTTGAGGTTAGGAGTTTGAGACCAGCCTGATCAACATGGTGAAACCCCGTCTCTACTAAAAATACAAAAATTAGCTGGGTGTCGTGGCAGGCACCTGTAATCCCAGCTCAGGAGGCTGAGGCAGGAGAATCACTTGAACCCAGGAGGCGGAGGTTGCAGTGAGCCAAGATTGCACCACTGCACTCCAGCCTGGGCGTCAGAGCGAGACCCTGTCTCAAAAAAAAAAAAAAAAAAAAAAGTATTGTGGTAATTCACTGTGAGGCACCACTCATCCTTTCCAGGTTCACAAACAGGCTATTAAATGGAGAAACAGTGTGGATAATCACCCCTTTTCTGAATAAATCTTGTATAATGAGTTTTAATCCTTGAAGGCCCTGCTTTAATTTATGTTGGGCCACATTAACTATTTTAAATGAAAAGGAAGAGGTGGGTCCATGGGGTCCCATTTTGTCAACCTGATTGTTAAGTGCCAAAGACTTAAATGAATTTTAATGTATTAGTCATTGGATCAGAGAGTCCATGCCCATTATAGGACATTTTAGAATAATGGGTGCTATGACTACAGGGAATTTAGGCAAGGCAATAGTTCAGATGGTTAAGGCGAGGCATACCTGTTTCTCCTGTCATATTTAGTAACTTCCCTAAGATTACAAAGGGTACCTTGTCTTAATTTAGTGGGATCACTGGTATAACTGTAATTTGAGCCCCAGGATTAAGAAAATGACATTTTCCCAATTGGTACATTTCAGCAGATGTTGAACTTAATTCAAAACTCATGTTGTAGAGGCGCAAAAGCCATTCGGCACCCTTTCATGTTTTTGTTGTATAAATTCTTTCAGTAAATTTTGGATTCCCGGCTGGGCGCGGTGGCTCACGCCTGTAACCCCAACACTTTGGGAGGCCGAGGTGGGTGGATCACCTGAGGCCAGGAGTTTGAGACCAGCCTGGTCAACATGGCAAACCTCCATCTCTACTAAAAATACAAACATTAGCTGGGCGCGGTGGCTCCCGCCTGTAGTCCCAGCAACTTCGGAGGCTGAGGCAGGAGAATTGCTTGAACCCGGGAGGCGGAGGTTGCAGTGAGCCAAGATTGTGCCACTGCACTCCAGCCTAGGTGACAGAGCGAGACGCTGTCTCAAAAACCAAAAAATTATTTTGGATTTCTACTTGGGTCATCCCCAACTGTGGACCTTGGTTTTTTGTTTTCTCCCCCTGTATCCAGGTATCTGGAGGGAGGTGGTTACTCACTGTGGTTTGAGGCAGGTCCCCTCCATCTTTGCCATATTTGTAAGCTTCATCCTTCAGAGGGTCTCACATTAGCATGGTCAGGGCGCGCCTCCTCCAGGGCAGTGGTTACCTTGTTGGCTAAGGGACACAGACTTCACGGGGGCAGAGCAGCCCTGTTGCGTGTTGATAAGTTGTGGCACTCAGCTGACCCCAGAATCTTTGTTGGTCCATTTTACAGCTGTCCAATAGGGCCAGGGTATCCTCTAACCCCTTAGGAGGGGCTGAGATAAAGCATTCAGGCCTTTTTCACAGGAGTCTGTCCATGGGATGTCATGGATGTCTTTTTCTTATAACCCTGGGGATCAGGGTCTTTGGTGTGAGAGAGGCACAGGTAGCAGCAGCAGCAGCAGGTGGCACTTGGAAAGCCATCACCTTTTAGGGGTGTGGACCTCAGCAGGCCACATGGTGACAGCTCCTGCACCCCATGAGTGACCATCATTGGGTGGAAATACTGCACAAGGTGTTACTAGTTCCCCTGAGTGCTCTGCAGATTCGGGTCCAATGTCTGGTTGAGACTCACAGCCAAAGGCCCCACAGTAAGAGTTGCTCCGCTGAGCCCAGCATCAGCCATAGCTTATGCTGGAACCACACAATTCAGTGAGACACACAGATAGGGCCATGCCAAGGTCCATGACCCAGAGCCACGTTAAAGAGGGCTCCAATCCCATACTTCTGTCCCTAAACACCAATTACTGAAACTTCCAGCTTGCCCTGGTAAAATCTGTAACAGACGCTCAGAGGACTTGGCCAATCAGCACAAAGCAGCACAGCTCCAAACACAAACGAATCAGCGGGCAGAGGCGCAGAGGGCAGGTCGCCAGCAGGCAGCAGAGCCAGTTCACAAGCCAAAGCGAGGGAAGAGAGACCCCTGCCATCACGGTCACTGCCCACATGCCCTGCTTGCTGTGCCAACTGTTGGGGTCCATTGTGCCTCTGTGGGATGACCACATGTGTTGGGGTATCGAAGAGTGTGTGTCATGACATCTGCAATGGGCATTTAAAAGTTGCAACCTTGGCCAGGCGCGGTGGCTCACGCCTGTAATCCCAGCACTTTAGGAGGCCGAGGTGGGTGGATCACCTGATATCATGAGTTTGAGACCAGCCTGGCCAACATGGTGAAACCCTGTCTCTACTAAAAATACAAAAATTAGGTGGGCATGGTGGTCGGTGCCTGTAATCCCAGCTACTCGGGAGGCTGAGGCAGAAGAAGCACTTGAACCCGGGAGGCGGAGTTTGCAGTGAGCCGAGATTGCACCACTGTACTCCAGCATGGGGCATAAAGCGAGATTCTGTCTTTAAAAAAAAAAAAATATTGCATCCTTAAGGCTTTAGGCAGGGGAGGGATGAGGCTGAAGAGGGCCAGAGAAAACCCTCTCAGGCGCTGCAGTGGGGCAGAGGGGATGGAAGTAGGAAGCGCATAGGGAGAGAAGATGAGTTTGGCTAACCATCTTCATAGTCCAAGGAGATTGAGAAGCTCTTGCTCTGTGGTGGTGCGGGGGAAAGGCAGCAGAGGAGAAGGGCTGAGAGCAAGACTCACTCACTCACGATTGGGAGCAGCACAGCGCCTACTGGCTCAAAAAAAGGCCAGCCATGGTGGCTCACACCTGTAATCCCAGCACTTTGGAAGGCTGAGGCAGGAGTTCCCAGTGCTGGGTGAGCCCAGGAGTTCAAGACCAGCCTGGGCAAGATGGCAAGACCCCAACTCCACAAAAAATGTAAAAATTAGCCAGGGATGGTGGCTTGCCTGCAGTCCCAGCTACTCTAGAGGCTGAAGTGAGAGGATTGCTTGAGCCCAGGAGATCGAGGCTACAGTGAGCTGAGATCATGCCACTGCACTCCAGCCTGGGCAACAGAGTGAGACCCTGTCTCAAAAAGAAAAGAAAGAAAAAACCCACAAAAAACCTTGGCTTGGGGCCAGGCATGGTGGCTCACACTTGTAATCCCAGCACTTTGGGAGGCTGAGGTGGGCAGATAACGAGGTCAGGTTTTCATGACCAGCCTGACCAATACGGTGAAACCCCGTCTCTATTAAAAATACAAAAATTAGCCGGGCCTGGTGGCAGGCGCCTGTAATCCCAGCTACTTGAAAGGCTGAGGCAGGAGAATTGCTTGAACCCAGGAGGCGGAGGTTGCAGTGAGCCAAGATCATGCCATCGTACTCCAGCCTGGGCGACAGAGTGAGACTCCGACTCAAAACAAAACAAAACAAAACATGGCTTGGACCTAAATTATGTCCCACTGAATTGTGTGTCTTTGTTGCAGCATAAGCTATGACTGATGCTAGGCTTGGGGGAGCAACTCTTACTGTGTGGCGTTTGGTGTGGGTCTCAACCAGACGTCGGCCCCAGATCTATAGAGCCCTCAGGGAGGGAACTAATTACTACTCAGACTACTTGAGTTCAAGAAGCAACTGGGCCCATTATTTAACCCCTGTGTGCCTCAGTTTCCTTACCTGTAACATGAGGGTGTATCAGTTTGCTAGGGCTGCCAGAACACAGTACAACAGAATGGACTGCTTAAACAACAGAAATGTATCTACTCACAGTTCTGGAGGCTGGGAGTCTGAGCTCAAGGTGTCTCAGGGCTGGTTTGTTGGAGGCCTTTCTCCTTGGCCGATAGGCGGCCACCTTCTCCCTGTGTCCTCACAGGATCTTCCCTCTGTCTGTGTCTGTGTCCAAATTTCCTCTTCTTAGAAGTACACCAGTCATATTGTATTAGGGCCCATCCTAGCAGCCTCATCTTAATTACCTCTCCAAAGACCCTATCTTCCAATACAGTCACATTCTGAGGGACTGGGGTCAGGACTCCAATACATGAATTTGGAGGGGGACATAAATCAGCCCCTAACTGGAGGATAATATCAGAATTTATTCCTTCGCAAACTTGTAGAGTTGATTGAATTAAGACACGTAAAGTGCTTAGAACACTAATAGAAAATGCTTTTTACTACTACTATTATTGTTATTTAGAGACAGCATCTTGCTCTGTCACCCAGGCTAGAGTGCAGTGGCATGACCATAGCTCACTGCAGCTTCGAACTCATGTCCTCAAGCGATCCTCCTGCTTGGTCTCCTGAGTCGCTAAGATTGCAGGCGTGCACCACCAAACCCAGCCTGTTTGTTTTCTTCCTTTCTCTCTCTCTCTCTCTCTCTCTCATTCTTTCTGATAGAGTCTTGCTCTGTCACCCAGTCTGGAGTACAGTGGCGTGATCACAGCTCACTGCAACCTCCGCCTCCCTCAAGTGATTCTCCTGTTTCAGCCTCCTGAGTAGCTGGGATGACAGGCACGTGCCACCATGCCCAGCTAAATTTTGTATTTTTAGTAGAAACGGGGTTTCACCATGTTGGCCAGGCTGGTCTCGAACTCCTGACCTCAAGTGATCCACTGCCTTGGCCTCCCAAAGTGCTGGGATTACAGGCATGAGCTACTGCGCCTGGCACCCAGCCTGCTTTCTATTGTTTAAGATGCAGAAATGACGTATGAAAGCGGGGCAGCCACTTTACAGGTTTCCCCAAGCTCCTGCCTCCCCTGAAATTTGGCTCCTTTGAGTCCTAATGGTTCTCGGACCCCATGCCCTCAGAAGCCTTCCCTACTTGCTTCAGGCGCCTCCCTTCTGAGGTCACAGCTCTGAGGCCAGGATCCTCTGTAACCGCCTTCTCCCCACGAGGCAGCCTGATTGCGTGGCCCCTTGAAAGCAATTAAGCCTGTGGTTTTCAAACTGTGGTCTCCAGACCATCAGCATCACCTGGAAACTCGTTAGAAAGGCACATTCTTGGGCCCACCCCATACCTCTGTGTTAATAAACCCTCCCGCTGATTCTAATGCGTGCTCCAGGCTGAACAAGAAGGTCCTCAGTGAAGGAATCAATTCTGCCGAACTACCGCTTGGGGACAGCACAGGACCACAAGGTAACCATGGCTGATGAAAAGCACCCGCAAATTGCAAAAGCCTCTCACTGCCCTTCCGGCCTCCAGTGTTGCTGTAAGCCCCCTTCAGTTCTCCCCACATACCCTGCATGACCTCTGGAAACCTCATACCTGATGGTGTCACTGGTTCAGAATTCTTCAGCAGCTCCCTAGGACATGAAAGGTCCTTCATTTGCTGAGCAGTATCTCCTGCCAGGTGCATCTTGCACGGGCTCCTCTCTCTCTGTCTCTGTACGTTCCCTGGGGTCGGACCCACCTGGGTTCGAATTTCAGCCCTGCCATTTACCGTCTGGGCGTGATGTGGGCAAGATACATCATTTTGAGCCCCTCATCTATGAAATGGGAGCAGTTAATAAGACTTTTCTCATGGGGCGGTTATGAGAGTCGGAGACCTCATGTATAAAGAGATTTTAGCCTAGGATCATGCAAACAGTAGGTGCCTGATATGCAGCAACTCTGCTTCCCCATCTGCACTGCCAAGTGCAAGAGGCAGTTGCCCACAGGCCCATCTCCGTGCCGGGTGTAGTAGGTGCTGTCTGAGTCCCACCAATCCTCTGACTTCGTGGCTTCCATCTGCCAGAACCTGTGTGTCTTTGCCTGGGGCTTTCTCTGGCTGCTGGTATCCACTGTGGTACCAGGGCCATAAATCTCTGTAAATTGGGGATGATAATAATGCCTACCTCATGGCACTGTTGGGAGGCCTTGTTAGTACCCTGCGTAGAAGGGGGCCTCAGATGTTGGGGTGCTGTTGGGGTGCTGTCTCTGTAACTCGCCTACCCACAGGAGTAGCCGTATCAGGAATACTGGGCAGTAGATGAAAGACGTGGGCCTGGCTCACATGGTGGCTCTCTGCTCTGCCACCCAGGCCGGCACCTGAGACGCCTGAATTGATGTCATAGGATGTAAGAGGACACCAGGAGCCTGGGGCTGCCAGTAACCCTGGCACCTTGGCAGGGCAGTGAGTTCTTCATAGCCTCTGAGAACCTGGACCATCTCAAGCTGGGGACCTGGAGGTGACTCAGCCCCTCAGCCTGCAGCCTGCAGGGCCAGAGGGACCTGCACTTTCCTGGGTGGGTGGGTGAGGGGCATAGACCTTGTCCAAAGTCACTGTCATCAGGACCCCACTCTTTCTTGTGGTTGCTTCCTGGGGGTTTCTCTGCCCTTTATCTTCATGTTCTGTGTGGGGCTAATCTGGCCCTTGGATGCAGTAGGCATTTATCTATGTGACTTGATGTAAGGGGCTCCAAAAATGCCCCCCGCCCAACCAGCCTAAATATCTCCCTGCCAGACTGTCATACTGTCTGTGCATGAAACCCCTGGCTTCAGCATTGCCCTCTCCCATTTCCTCGTATTGAAATAGGTGGCAAGCTGCAGTCAGGACTGGCAAAGAGCCCTGTGCAAAATGAAAATGGAGGGCTCCTCGTCCAAAAGTTAGGAAGAATTTCAAGGCAACAACAGAAGAGAATTCAACTAAGCACGGGGCCCTGCACTGCTGCACAGGCTGTGCACTCTTGAAGCCAGCTCTGCCTGCAGCCTGAGCTCTTAGCGAGACAGGATCACCTCCTTTCCTTGCACCAGTGAGGAGCCCTGGAGCTGCCCAGATCAAGGACACAAAGACAAAACGAGCCTCTTTACTCAGCTCAGGACAATTGTTGTTTTCGGAGATGGGTGAAGCTCAGGGCCCTCTGTCCAGCTGGCCTAACTTCAGGGCCTCCTGAAATTCCTCTGGGTTCTCCAGGCCCCTGGAGTCCTGGCAGTTGATGGGGCATTTTCTGCCTATGGCCTGGCTGGCCCTGAGCTTGTCCTTACTCTATTGCAGTGTTTGCCTTGCCTGCTGAGGGACTCGCTCTGGCATGTGGGCCTGATCCTGAGGGGTCCTTTTCCTGTTTCCTGAACAACCACCAGATCTTTGGATTTAGCTCCTAGCAGCCCCAGGAGCACCCCCAGACAGACTTCCCGTGCTTGGGGCTGTTCTAGGCTCTCCAGATCCACTGTCTTCTCCATCGCCCTGTGCCCCACAAGGCTGAGCTGGGTGGCTGCCTCTGTGGGCTACCTGTGCTTTTGCTTCTGGTTGGGTATGACCAATGGAAGAGAGGGAGGAGTGAGAGAGGTGGGCATTTACCCGCCAGCTCCCTCCTGGGGCTGCTGTAGCCTGGCTGTGTCCCTGCCCCAGGTGCCAGCTGCTTGTCAGGCAGCTCTCCCCGCTCAGCCCTTTCTGCCTCTGGGTTCTAACCCTCCCCGCTAGCAGCTCCCTCCCCTTGGACTGCCAGGCCTTGGGTGGTCACAGATTCCAGCTGTCACTACTGTTCCCTCCCTTGAGATCTCCCAATACCCTGACCATCCTTTGTGAATGGTTCCTTTATTAAACTCTCCCAGAATTATCCGAATTTGAATTTGTAACTATTTCCTTCCGGGTCCCTGACTGGTAGAAAGATCTTTGCTCTATGTTGTACCCCTGATCTATCTTTGTAGCCCTCAATCCCTTGGGACAGCCAGGTCAGGGACCAGATGTCCAGGAACTCAGGCCAGAGCCCACTCCCAATCTCCTTGGAGAACACCACAGAAGAAGTGGGGACCCTCCCCCAGGCCCCCCAAACACACCCACCGGGTACTCCATCCTCAGGGAATTGGGCACCAGGGGCCTACACATTGTGTCTTTTTCTCCTTCAGCTTCGGGGCTTGATGGAGGTAAGACAGTCAGCCAGAGAGGCTCATCCCCACACAGGCCCCCGGTGACCAGGTAACTAGGTAACCAGACAAGTATACAATTAGACAACTAGGCAACCAGATAACCAGACGACAGGCAACCAAACAACTAGATAACCAGGCAACCAGGCAAGCCGACAAGTAGGCAGCATTCTCTGAGGGGGACATCCGCTGGCTCTGCTGGTCAACCTTCCCTCTATCTTTTCCTGGCAGCAGATTTTCCCTTAGGGAGCTTGTCCTCCTTCCCTACTCAGGGGAGGCACCTGTGACCTCTGCCTAAGCCAGTCAGCCAGTCAGGCTTACCCAAAGCTGATTCTGGAACTTGACTAACCTAGAAGAGGCTGTTTCTTGCTGGACCTGCAGAGAGGAAGTGAGGTCTGAAGCTGTGCCACCCTTTTAAATCTAAGACAGGAGCCAACCTGAAAGAGGCAAGGCTGGGAGATGGGGAGACATCATTTGAGCCTTGATTGAACCATTCCTGAAGCTGCTGCCTTGGCGCCTTTAAGTTTTATGAACCAGTGAATTCTCTTTTTGCTGAAGCCACTTCACGCAGTGTTCCTTTCTTTGCAAAAGGAAGAACCCTGGCTGGGATGAGAGTCCCTGAAACTTTGCTCCACTGACCTGCTGCTAGGAGTGAGGCCCCTCCCTGCTTGTGATAGTCTTCCTGGAGCACCACCCAGGGCATTGGTCAGGAGGCTTGGGCTCAAATCTGGGACTGCTTTTAATGAGTTGTGTCAATGGACATGTCCCTTCAGCTCTCGGGGCCTTGGGCTTCTCACAAATAGCCATGCCTTTCTGCCCTACTTTAGCTGTGAATGGGGCTGAATGTTAGTACCATTTCCTGGGAGCCGTTGGTGTGGTATGGAGGTCAGGAACATGGCTGACTCAAATCTGGCTTTCAGAGTCTGATAACCAATTGCTCCAGGGTGTGTAGCCAGGGCTTTCCTGCTGCTCTCTTCTTCATTTGGGGAAGTCTCTGGCTCCCAGCCAGGGTCAGAGCCCAATGCTGTGGCAGCTAAGCCTTCTTCTCCATTCCTGGCTTGCTCACGGGAGGCACCTGTGACCTCCACCTAAGCCAATCAGCCAGTTAGGCTTACCCAAAACTAATTCTGGAACTTGACTAACCTAGAAAAGGCTGTTTCTTGCTGGACCTGCAGAGAGGAAGTGAGGTCTGGAGCTGCGCCACCCTTTCAAATCTGGGACAGGAGCCAACCTGAAAGAGGCAAGGCTGGGAGATGGAGAGACATTATTTGAGCCTCGATCGAACCATTCCTGAAGCTGCTGCCTTGGAGCCTTTAAGTTTTATGAACCAATGAATTCCCTTTTTGCTTAAGCCAGTTCTTTATTTCTTTGGGCCCTATCTCTGCCTCAAATCAGTGTACAGGAGGCTTCAGCACATCATTTTAACAATGATTTTATCAGGAAATTCCCATCTGTGCTCATAACTCAGCCTTTAATTGGTGGAAATTACCGGTCCCATATGCTTAGAGCTGTGGTTTTCAAAATGTGAGCTCCAGACCAACAGAACCAGCAATTACTTGGGAACTGGTTAGAAATGCAAATTTTCGGGCCGCATTCTATACCTGCTGAATCAGAAACTCTCGGGGTGCCCCCAGCAATGTGTGGTTTAAGAAGTCTGCCGGGTGATTCTGATTCTCACTCAAGTGTGCGAACCACCTGCTTGGAGCTTTTGCTGGTTCAAAAGGTGCACATAGAGGATGATCTGGCACTGCCTGGATCTCCTTTGGCTGCAGATGGGCTGTTCCCCAGCAGCAGCGAATGAGTATTTGCTGCTAACGGCTTCCAGCTGTTCCTTCTCCCTGCACTAAATCTGCCTTCCACGGGCCATGGCCAGTGCCTGATGGGCATGGGGGTATACCAGGCTGGTCTCTTTGTCCAGTGGACCAGAGAGGGACACTCCAATGTGAATTACTTTCTAGCCCCTCTGTGAATTAGGCCAGAGCTAGACTTTAAATGCTCAAGTCACTGCTTCTTCCAAACGCCTAGCTGTTTTTGGGACCACAGGTGTGAGTTACCGTACAACACCCTGGTGAAAAAAAAAGTCACTTGGCTTTGCAAAATTAAAATAAGCGTGCTTGATTGCTTGATTATCCTCCTCTGCAGGCTGGTTTTAAAGTCAACCAGGAGAGCCTCTGACTGTCATCTGGTTTGCAGGTCCTGGTGGCCATCAGCTGTGATTGGGTCATTCTCCTCTTTGTATCAAAGAATCAACACTTCCACCCCTTGGCCCAGACCTCACAGGGACATGTTTCATGGTAGCCTAAGAGATACAAAAAACTTGTCAACTGCTTTCTTCCTCTGACTGCCCTTCCTGAGAAGGGAGAAGGGAAAAATATTTACTTTTTGTTCTCAATTATCAAAGAGAAAGGCAAGATGCCAGTTACTTTCCCAGTTAATTTCTGAGGGGTAACAGAAAGTTTGGCGAGTGTGTTTGTGTGACTGTGTGTTTGTGTGTGTGGCTGTATGTTGGGTGTTGGGGTGTGTTTGCTTGTTTGTATGTGTTTGTGTGTCTGAGTGTGTGCAGATGGATGTGGAAGTGTGTTTGTGTGTTTGTGTGTGTGTAGATGGATGTGGAAGTGTGTGTGTCTGTGTGTGTGCAGATGGATGTGGAAGTGTGTGTGTCTGTGTGTGTGCAGATGGATGTGGAAGTGTGTTTGTATGTCTGTGTGTGTGTGTACAGATGGATGTGGAAGTGTGTTTGCACGTGTGAGCCTGGGGCTTGGGTTCTGTGACAGCCACAGCAATGGGGCCAGAGCCCCATCACTCCCCAGAAGATGTCAGCCCCTCCCTCAGTGCCAGGCCTCACAGCTGACACAGCATTCAGCTGCTATCTCTTGGAGCCTGCTGGGGGCACAGATGGTGTCACTCAACAGGACGGTGGGATAAACTGTCAGCTCCAGCCACTTCCCTGCTTTGATACTTCAGGGCTCTGAGGTTCTGCAAAAACAATTATCTGGGTAATTATGGCCCTAAACATACTCTGAAGTCTGGGAGGAAGGAGAAGTAAAAATATAAAAAGACCAGATGGGAATATAGGAAAACATTTACAGCATTAACTTTTTTCCTGGGGACTGTGATTATGGGTGATTTCTATTTATGTCTTTGTGTTTATTTGCATTTTTGAAATTTTCTACAATGAACACGAATTATGTGTACAATAATTAAAAATGAAAGCAGAAGAATAATTATAAATATCCCACACCTACTCCTTGAGTGCAAGCTTTCCCTCCCACCCCCAACACCACAGGAAATCGTTAACTTCCTCAACTTTGTGTTGTTACAACTTCCCAGCATGGGAAAAGTAGAAAGACAGTATAACCAACACCTGTGTACCTATATGCAATATACCCCACCACCACGTATATTCAAAATGGGTAATAATTTTTTATATTTGCATTATATATATATATATATACACACACATACATATATATGCTTTTTTCCTGAAACATTTAAAAGTAATTTGCAGATATCATGCTATTTCACCTCTGAACACTTTTGAATACATCACTTAAGAATAAGGGCAGTCTCCTTTTCTTTTTTGAGATCGAGTCTTGCTCTGTTGCCCAGCTTGGATTGCAGTGGCACGATCTTAGCTCACTGCAAGCTCCAAATCCCCAGTTTGAGCAATTCTCCTGCCTCAGCCTCCCGGGTAGCTGGGACTACAGGTGTGCGCCACCATGCCCAGCTAATTTTTGTATTTTTAGTAAAGACGGGTGTTTCACCATGTTGGCCAGACTGGTCTTGAACTCCTGACCTCAGGTGATCCGCCTGTCTCAGCCTCCCAAAATGCTGGGGTTACAGGCATGAGCCACCCCACCTGGCTGCCAAGGGCAGTCTCCTTTGTAAGCACAATAACATTTCACACCTAAGAAATTAATAATGATTGCATTATGTCATCTAATGTCTAGTCCATATTCAATTTCCCCAATTGTCCTAAGAGTGGCTTTTGTAGTTATCATCACATTTAGGATTGTTAAAAAAAAAAAAAAAAAGAAAGACTGGCTTTTGTAGTTGTCTATTTTTTGAACCAGGATCCGATTAAGGTTCACATATTGTATTTGGTTCTTATGCCTCTTTAATCTCTTTCAATCTAGAACATCCACCCCCTCAATATTTTTTTCCCTAATAACTCTAACTTTTTGAAGAATCCAGGCCAGTTTCTTGTGGAATATCCCACCGCTGGATTAGTCTCTTTCCTTGTGATGTTGTTTCACTTGTCTCTGTATTCCCCGACTTTTCTGTAACCTGAAGGTAATCTTTAAGGGTTTGATTACATTTAGGCCCTATATATTACTATATTGATTAGATTGAACATTTTCGGCACAAATACTTCGGCACAAATAGAAGGCTCACGGCATCAGATTTTTCAATTGCCTTTGATGGCTTGTGAAGCCCATTAGCGTATCAATTGAAAGGCATGTTTCCCCCTTTGCAATTAAGAAGTGAGATTTTGTTTTGGCATCTTATAAATATCTCATTTATGTCAACCATTTGGGACTGGCCTGAATCAATCATTACATTGGGGATTTGAAAATAGTGATTTTTGGAATATCATTATGGACCTATGGATGATTATAATTCAGTGTATTACAATCATTACTCTCTTTGATGTTCAGAGTATCCTAAATGTAGCCAATTGCAGTCCCTTCATGCCTGGTCGTATGTCCTGTTGTCATGACCCAATTAAATCTCTGAGTGTTTCCTTGCTTTCTGGAACATGATGTTCTAGGCTCACCTTGTATTTTCCTGGAATCAGCCATTTCTTCAAAGAGCTGTGGTTCTTTTTAGTGCAAAATGGTAATTGGAAAGCAAGAGCTGGGTGCTAGGTGTGCTGATTGCTATGTGGGGGTGCCGTCATTGCTTTTAGGTCCTTTCTTTGGACAGTGTTAGGAAATTTTTTTTTAAATTATGAGCTCCTATTGATATTTTTTATTCAGACTTAATATTATAGGAGTTTTAAAAAACTTCTTTGATCTTTAAAAATTTGTCTCATTTCTCTCACTGGAAATATTGGTTAATAGCAACATTATATATCTTACAATATACGTAAAGTAGTTTAGAAATAAACCTCCTGAATGAAGGTTAAGTTTTTTTTTATATATTTTGTCTTGGGATTTTATCCTACCATAAATATATAATCAGAATACTACATTCAAAGATAATTGAAATAATGATATTTTCCCTAAGTGGTTGCTATCAACCTGATACATAGTCAGGTATAATTATTTATTAATTAATTTTTTTTTTGTAGAGATAGAGTTCTCGCTTTGTTGCCCAGGCTGGTCTCAAACTCCTTGGCTCATGTGATCCTCCCACCTCTGTGGCCTCTTAAAGTGCTGGGATTACAGGTGTAAGCTACCCTGCACAGCCCATTTATTTTGGATTGCATTCAATTTTAGGGTTTGCTTTTTTCTTTTTGATTTAGCTTTTGAATATGTAAAATATTTTCGTACTTTAAAAGTTAATGCTTTATAACACAGCAAGTCTTACTTTCAACCCTTTCTTCTCCACTCAAGTTCCTGCCACCCATTGGTAACTTTTTATTTATTTCTAGTTTATCCTTCTAGTGTTTAATTTATGCAAAATTAATGCACATACTCTTTATATCTATATCTATATCTGTATCTGTATCTATATATCTTATTTACCTTTTATTTTTGCATAATGGGAAATGTATTATTAATGCTATTTGCACTTTGCATTTTTCACATTGCCATACATCCTAGAAGTCATTCCATGTCAGTGCATAGTGATCATCCTCCTTCATTTGCACAGCTGTGTAAATGCCGCAGAATTTATTCAACCAGCCCCCTTGTGTTAGTTCCTTCTTGCATTGCAATAAAGAAATACCTGAGGCTGGGTAATTTATAAAGAAAAGATATTTATTTTGGCTTACAGTTCTGAAGGCTGTACAGGAAGCGTGGTGCCGGCATCTGCTTCTGGCGGGGGCCTTGGGGAGCTTACGATCATGGCAGAAGGGGAAGGGGGAGGGGGCAGTGTATCACATGGTAAGAGAATAAGCAAGACAACAAGTGGGGAGGTGCCACATCTTATAAACAATCAGATCTTGGGTGAACTCAGGGTGGGGACTCACTCATCACCATGTGGAAGACACGAAGCCATTCCTGAAGGGCCTTCCCTATGACCCAAACACCTCTCACCAGGCCCCACCTCCAACACTGGGGATTACGTTTCAATGTGAGATTCGAAGGAGACAAATATCCAAACCATATCACCCCTATAGACAGACATGTGGGTTGTTTTTGATCATTTGTTATTACAAGTAACTCCACAGTGAAATATCTTACTGTTTTGGATTTGTGGAGGTGTAATTTCAGAGTAGATTCCAAGAAGTGGGATTGCTGGGTCAAAAGCATTTGTAACTTCTTAGGAAAGCTCTTTTTAAGCCTTGATCTGATCCTGTGACGGTGACTTCCTGTGGCCACAGTTATGACCTCAGATTCCCATCCTGCCTGACTTTGACCTTGGCTCCAAGCAGTGTTCTTCACTGAAGCGAGCGTGCACAATCAACCCTGTCTAACAAGGCTATTTCCCTCCATGCGATGTTCTTCTGGACTGCTTCACCCATCCAGATCAGCCAGATTCCGAGTCAATTGCAAGCCTCATCTCCTTCATGGAGCCTTCCCTAAAATTATCAAATAATGTTCTGTTTTGTTATTTAATGTTTCACTCAACATTTCCTGAGTAGAACAACTCAGGGACCACGACCCATTGCTGCTCTCCAGGAGCCTACACTGTGGTGAGCGCTGCAGGAGGCACAAGGACATGGTGCTCACGGAAGAAGAGGAGAGGTCCTTCCCAAGGCTGTGGGGGGCACAAGAAGGCATTTCAGAGAGGCAGTTAGGGTGTGAGCTGAGACCTGAAGCCTACATGGGAGGGTGCAGAGCAAGGGCAGATCAGGGTTGGTGGAAGATGCCTCAGAATTAGGTTTTCTTCTTCTTCCTCTTCTTCTTCTTCCTCTTTTTCTTCTTCTTCTTCTTCTTCCTCTTCTTCCTATTCTCCTTCTTCTTCTTCTTCTTCTTCTTCTTCTTCTTCTTCTTCTTCTTCTTCTTCTTCTTCTTCTTCTTCCTCTTCTTCCTCTTCTTCCTCTTCTTCCTCTTCTTCCTCTTCTTCCTCTTCTTCTTCTTCTTCTTCTTCTTCTTCTTCTTCTTCTTCTTCTTCTTCTTCTTCTTTTCTTCCTCTTCTTCTTCTTCTTCTTTTTGAGACAGAGTCTTGCTCTTATTACCCAGGCTGGAGTGGAATGGCGTGATTTGCAACCTCTGCCTCCCGGTTTCAAGCGATTCTCCTGCCTTAGCCTCTCTAGTAGCTTGGATTACAGGCACCTGCCTCCACACCCAGCTAATTTTTGTATTTTTAGCAGAGATGGGGTTTCACCATGTTGGCCAGGCTGGTATCAAACTCCTGACCTCAGGTGATCCACCCGCCTCAGCCTCCCAAAGTGCTGGGATTACAGGCAGAGTGACCGCAGCTGGCCATAATTAGATTCTCATATTAGACAAATTTCTCTGCCCTTGTGCTCATAAATATTGTTTAAATGAATGAAGCACTGAATGGAGAATGGGTTGGAGAAGGGCAGAACTGAAGGTCCAAGGACCATGTAGAAGCTATTGCAGTCACCTAGGAGATCACTGCAGCTTACATTTTTTATTCTTATTTTTATTTTTTGGAGACAGAGTTTTGCTCTTGTCGCCCAGGCTGGGGTGCAATGGCACGATCTTGGCTTCATGCAACCTCTGCCTCCTGGGTTCAAGGGATTCTCCTGCCTCAGCCTACCGAGTAGCTGGGATTGCAGACATGTGCCCCCATACCTGGCTAATTTTTGTATTATCAGTACAGATGGGGTTTCACCATGTTGGCCAGGCTGGTCTCGAAGTCCTGACCTCAGGTGATCCACCCACCTCAGCCTTCCAAAGTGCTGGGATTACAGGCGTGAGCCACCTCTCCCTGGCTGCTGCAGCTGAAATTTGAGTAGATGAATTTGAGGGTTTGGCTTTTGACCAGATAGGGGAGTGTGAGCAGGGAGATAAAACCGGGTAAAACATCCAACTTCTGACTTGAGCAACTGGATTGATGTGAGTGCCTTCAGTGAGTCAGATAATTTTAAAAAAGAAATATGGGATTTTATGGGTGGGGAAATGGGCTTCCTTTTACACACATTTTTGTTTGACGTGCTTGAGGTTCACCCAAGCAGAGACAATAGTCAGGAGTTTTTATAAAAGGTCAGGGGACTCATCTAGTCTGAAGATAGAAATCTGTGGGTGATTAACATATGGATGGCAAATGAGGCCACATCTAGGAAGAGAGTGTGGCTTGAGAGTAGTGGTCTGAGCTCCAAACCCGGAGGAATGGTCACATTTATGAGTTAACTGGAAGAAAGAGACAGAGAAGGAGTGTCAAGAGAGGTGAAAGCCAAGAGCAGGTGCCAAAGAAAGCGAGTACACTTCTAAGGAAGGAGGAAATGGTCAGTGAGTCAAAATATTCCCAAGAGGGTAAGTGAGATGAGGCCGTACAAAGGTCCACCGAGGAAGCTATTAAAGAACAGTTTCCGGCCGGGCATGGTGGCTCCCGCCTGTAATCCCAGCATTTTGGGAGGCCGAGGCGGGCGGATCACGAGGTCAAGAGACCGAGACCATCCTGGTCAACATAGTGAAACCCCGTCTCTACTAAAAATAACAAAAATTAGCCGGGCATGGTGGTGGGCACCTGTAATCCCAGCTACTCGGGAGGCTGAGGCCGGAGAATCACTTGAACCCAAGAGCGGGAGGCGGAGGTTGCAGTGAGCCGAGATCACGCCACTGCACTCCACCCTGGCGACAGAGTGAGACTCCATCTAAAACAAAGCAAAGCAACAACAGTTTCCGTGGAGTGAGGAGAGCAGAAGCCAGCCAGATTCCAGGGGCTTGGGTGATAAGTAGAGCACGAGGCAGAGAGACACCAAGAAGGGTTTGCTCCATAAGCCATAGAAGGAGTTGAGAATGGGAGATGGATGGATGGAGGAAGGAAGCATCCTTTGTTTTTTTAATTTCTAATTTAATTTTTTTTTTTTTTTGAGACGAATCTCTCTCTGTCGCACAGGCTGGAGTGCAATGGTGCAATCTCGGCTCACTGCAACCTCTGGCTCCTGGGTTCCAGCGATTCTCCTCCCTCAGCCTCCTGAGTAGCTGGGACTACAGGCATCTGCCACTATGCCCGGTTAATTTTTGTATTTTTAGTAGAGATGGAGTTTCCCTATGTTGATCAGGCTGGACTCGAACTCTTGACCTCAGATGATCCTTGCACCTCGGCCTCCCAAAGTGCTGGGATTACAGGGGTGAGCCACTGTGCCTGGCCGGAAGCGCCCTTTGAAACGGAGTCTCCCATTCTCCATTGTCCCTCAGGGTCCAGCTAGCGAGGAGGAAAGCTGTGATGGGGTGCAGGAGTGGAGGAGAAACGTGGCAACTGCCGAATAAACACACCAACCAGGGAAGACGGCCAAGGCTGGGCCCAGAATATCTGGAATGGAACCCATCTTCCTTTTGCAGCAGGAAGTGGAGTTGGAAGCTGAGTTGACCGTGGAATTTCCGAGCTTGGAGGATGTTCGTGGTGAATGCTTTTTTATTTATTTATTTTTTCATTCATGAAGACAGAGTTGGAATGAAGTGACCCCCCTCCCCTGAAACACTCCCTCCCACAGAGGAAGCGCTTAATTTAGCCTTATGTTCCCAGTTAGAAAATATCCCTGAGGTTTGAAGGCTTCTGCTGGGTTGTTTGTCACCCTCCAACATGGCAGGATGTGAAAACCAGACCTCTCTGCGTCTTGATTTCAGCCAAGGAGCACCATCCCAACCTCAGTGCCAAGAGGAAGTCCTCTTAGACCACCTATGGCGGATGTGGAAAGAGGCGTTGAAAGCCAGCTTTGGGAGCCTTGGGGGACCTCCACCCTGGCCCTTAAGGCAAAGAGAGCGAGTTGAAAATCAGAGAGAATTTCTTTAGATAATTTCCTACCCACTTGTGCTATGGGTCTGTCTCCCTTGGGATGAGATAGAGAGGGTGCTTCCCCCACATTTGGGGTCAAATGAGAGGGGCATCTATAGCACCACTCAGCTTGATGTGAGCATTTGTAGCTTGCAAGACAGCAGACTGGTATCTGATTCACTCAAGAGATTTGATTTGTGATAGGCTATGAATAGAACTGATGGCCAGGGGCCTGAAAAGAAGTATGACTGTGTTTGGGAAGTAACTGCAGCCTCTGGGGTGGTGGGTCAAAGGGGCTAATCTCGTAGCAGATGTGGCCATACACAACAGATAAAGAGGATTGTTTAGATCCCTCCCAAAAGGGCTACCTGGTGTAAGGTGGTGATCCCAGCACAAGGAGCCTTGAGGTGAACCATCCTTAATACCTGGGAAGAGGTGGCTTATTCCAGATAAGAGATGGCTTTAAGGCTGGACTTGGTGGTAAGCACCTGTAGCCCCAGCTACTTGGGAGGCTGAGGCAGGAGGATCCCTTGAGCCCAGGAGTTCAAGGCTGCAGTGAGCTATGATCACACCACTGCACTCTAGCCTGAGCAACAGAGAGAGACCCTGTCTCTGAAAAAAAAAAAAAAAAAAAAAAAAAAAAAAAAAGTAAAAAACCAGCCAGGTGCAATGGTTCATGCCTCTAATCCCAGCACTTTGGGAATCCAAGGTAGGAGGATTGTCCAGGAGTTTGAGACCAGCCTGGGCAATGTGGCGAGACACTGTCTCAAAAAAAAAAAAAAAAAAAAAAAAAGAAAAGAAAAGAAAAGAAAAAGAGATGGCTTTGTAAAGACATTCTAAGCAAGAGATAGACTGGGACCTCAAGACTTACAGGAAGGGTTCTTGGCTACACAATGATTAGAATACAGCTGTTGCCTTCATCTCTATGCCTATTATTTTATATGCCCTCAAGGGAATTATCATTAAGCTGAATAAAGACAGATGTCACAGGCTGGGTGTGGTGGCTCATGCCTGTAATCCCAGCACTTTGGGAGGCCGAGGCAGGCAGATCATGAGGTCAGGAGATCAAGACCATCCTGGCCAACATGGTGAAACCCTGTCTCTACTAAAATACAAAAAATTAGCTGGGTGTGGTGGCGTGTGCCTGTAGTCCCAGCTACTCGGGAGGCTGAGGCAGGGGAATCGCTTGAGCCCAGGAGGTGGGGGTTGCGGTGAGCTGAGATCGTGCCACTGCACTCCAGCCTGGCGACAGAGCAAGATTCCATCTCAAAAAAAGAAAGAAAGATGTCACAGTACAAAAGCCAATGATGAAAAAGCAAGAGTTTTCAAATGTTAAAAAAAAAAAAAAGACATTCTTTGGGTGGAGTTACTGAAACATCAAATTGAGCATGAACAAATAAACCTGTAACCTTCTAAGTATTTGAGAAGGCTGGATTGCTAAAGAAACTCCAAGCCTGGTCTGCAACCCTGAAAGTAACCCCTGGTCCCCCAGACCTGCACCATAGGAAGCCAGCTGTGAAGGCTCTGCAGAATGTAGGAAGTGCATACATTCCAAAGCCCGCTTGAAATCGAGAATAATTAATCTCCAAGTAGTCAATGTCAAGGTCAAAGAGGAAATGAGCAGAGTTAAATGGACCAGCCAAGGATTCACTCCATGGTCAGGGAGGGAGTTTCATGATTCTTGCCCATCTAGTGGGACTTAACAATAGTTGTGGACCACTGGCTGCTGCACAGATTTCCCTTCCCCCATTTTTCAAATTAGAGCTTTTTTGTTGCAGTTATCTGTTTTCACTCCAGCATTGTACACATCCCCACGTGTGGTGGGGACCAGATAACTTGTCCTTTATTTTATAGACCATTGAACACAGAGAAGTTTATCCAGCCCTGACGGAGAGAGCTTCACATCTCCTATAAATACTGGACTTGGCTAGGCACAGTGGCTCATGCCTATAATCCCAGCACTTTGGGAGACTGAGGTGGGTGGATTGTTTGAGCCTAGGAGTTTGAGACCAGCCTAGGCATCATGGCAAAACCCAGACTCTAAAAACAAAAAACAAAACAGAACAAAAAACATGCAAAAAATTAGCCGGGTGTTGTGGCATGTGCTTGTGGTCCCAGCTACTTAGGGAGGCTGAGGTGAGAGGATTATCTGAGCCTGGGGAGATTGAGGCTGCAGTGAGCTATGACTGTGCCACTGCACTTTAGCCTGGGCAACAGAGCAAGACCCTGTCTCAATCTAAAAAAAAAAATCCTTGACTTTGAGCTGGAATCATTAATTGGATAAAACTTTAGGATCATCTACCTTCTATGGATGAACAGAAGTGTTTGTATAGCCAAAGTGGTGGACTTATAGAAAGATTACTAAATTGTACCCTGTCTTCTCCATTTGTCTTTTATTCTACGGTAACAAATAGAAACTTTTACTAGGTGTTTGTTCAGCTATAATCCTGTTTCCTGGCTTCTCTGGCAGCTAGATGTGGCCATGTAGCCAGGTCAGTGAGGTGTGAGTGGAAGTGATATGTACAATTCCCTGGTTTTATCATTAAAAGGAAGTTAATTTTTATTCATTCTAGTTTAGTCTTCATTTCTGCAGTAAGTTATTTGATTTCAAATTTTCTTGAGTGCTATCACCTTATTTCTAAATTTTTCTGTTCTGATATGTATTGCTATTTCATATCTTATATAATTTCTCAATATCGTTCAGCTCATTTTGATATAGTAGATTACTTTATAAAATCTGTTTTGTGGGCATATCTTTCTGGTGTGTTCATTGTCTGTAGGAATGTTATTTTGCTACGTATTCTCTTTTTTCTTTTCTTTATTTTTCTGTAGAGAAGGGGTCTCACTTTGTTGCCAAGGCTGATCTCCAACTCCTGGCCTCAAGTGATCCTCCTGCTTTGGCCTCCCAAAGTGCTGGGATTGAAGGTGTGAGACGCTGTGCCCAGCTTTCCCCGCCCCCCTCTCTTTTTTCTTATAATAACATTGCATGGGTGGGGTTTTTTGTTGTTGTTTTGTTTTGTTTTCTGAGATGGAGTCTTGCTCTGTTGCCCAGGCTGGAGTGCAGTGGAACGATCTCGGCTTACGGCAACCTCTGCCTCACACTCCTGGGTTTAAGTGATTCTCCTGCCTCAGCCTCCCGAGTAGCGGAGATTACAGGCATGTACCACTATGCCCAGCTAATTTTTTTTTTGTATTTTTAGTAGAGAAGGGGTTTCACCATGTTGGCCAGGCTCATCTCAAACTCTTGACCTCAAGTGATCCACCCACCTCCGCATCCCAAAGTGCTGCGATTACAGGCGTGATCCTGGCCTGTATGGGTTTTTTGCCTTGATGATTTTCTATTGCTTATTTCCCTTCCCTTTCCCTTCCCTTCTCCTTCCTTAATTCCTTCCTTCCTTCCTTCCTCCCTCCCTTCCTTCCTCCCTCCCTTCCTTCCTCCCTCCCTTCCTTCCTTCCTCCCTTCCTTCCTTCCTCTCTCTCTCTTTCTTTCTTTTTCTCTCTCTCTCTTTCTGTCTTTCTTTCTTGGGCCTCACTCTGTCACCCAGACTGGAGTGCAGTGGCGTAAACAGGGCTCACTGCAGCCTTGACCTTCTGGGCTCAGGTGATCCTCCTGCCTCAGTCACTTGTGCAGCCAGAACCACAGGTGTGTGCCATCACATCCAGCTAACTTTTTGATTTTTTGTAAAGACGGGGTCTCACTATGTTGCCCAGGCTAGTATTGAACAACTAGGCTCAAGTCCTCCTTCCTTGGCCTCCCAAAGTGCTGGGATTACAGGTGTGAGCCCCTGTGCCCGGCTGTATTGTTTGTTTGTTTATTTATTTAATTATTTATTTATTTATTTTTTGAGGCAGAGTCTCGCTCAGCTGCCCAGGCTGGAGAGCAATGGCGTGATCTAGGCTCACTGCAACCACCGTCTCTAGGGTTTAAGGGATTCTCCCATCTCAACCTCCTGAGTTGCTGGGATTACAGGCACCCACCATCATGCCTGGCTAATTTTTGTATTTTCAGTAGAGATGAGGTTTCACCCCAAGTTGGCCAGGCTGATCTTGAACCCCTGACCTTAAATGATCCACCCCCTTGGCCTCCCAAAGTGCTGGGATTACAGGTGTGAGCCACCATGCCCAGTCTCTATTGCTTATTTCTCCTTTTTTTTTTTTGAGATGGAGTCTCACTCTGTTGCCAGGCTGGAGTGCAGTGGCACCATCTTGGCTCACTGCAACCTCCGACTCCCAGGTTCAAGCAATTCTCCTGCCTCAGCCTCCTGAGTAGCTGGGATTACGGGTACCCGCCACCACGTCAAGCTAATTTTTGTATTTTTGGTAGAGATGGGGTTTCACCAGGTTGGCCAGGATAGTCTCGATCTCTGACCTTGTGATCTGCCCGCCTTGGCCTCCCAAAGTGCTGGGCATGACCCACCACACTGGGACTCTATTGTTTATTTCTATGTGAAGTTAGTTTTCCTCAACTTTTAGAAGAAGGCTGACCAGGACTTCTAGGAAAGATGGAGACAGCAAGTGACAGTGGGTATCTTTGCCTTATTCCAGAATTTGGAGGGTCAAAATATAATGTTTCTCCATTAAGTATGGCTTTTTTACGAAGGATTTTTGGTGGATATCTTTCACCAGGTTGGGGGAGTTTCATTCTTTTGTAGATATCTAGGATTTTTTATCCTTACTTGGTGTGAATTTAATTTAATTTTTCTTCATTTGAGATAGTCTTGTATAGTTTTAAATTTTAATAATTAAGTGACTAGTTAATACATTTAAATGTTAGACCATTTCTGAATTCTGGAGGTAACTCTAGGACATAATGCATTATTGCTTTGAACACATTACTGAATACAGCTTGCAGAATTTTATTTTGAATTTTTATATCTATATTTATGAATGATATAGGTCAGAATTTTCTTTCTCATTTTGTTCCTGTTTGGTTTGGGTATCAAAGTTTTTCTAACCCCATTAAGTGCATTGAGGCATGTTCTCTTCTTATTTTCTGGAAGAGTTTTATGAGATGGGAATGATCTGTTTCTTAAATACTTTGAAGAAACTGCCTGTGAAAACATCAGAGCCTATTTTTTTTTACAAGGTAGATTTTTAAACTTCTGATTACATTTCCCAAATGATTATAAAATTATTTAGCTTTTCTATTTCTTCTTGAGTCAGTTTTGCATGGATCTATGTTCCAGGGAGTTACCCATTTTCATCTAAGTTTTTAAGTTTAGTGGTAAAAATTTATTTGTAATTTATAATGGTTTATAGTTTAAATTTCTGTTTTTTTTCACCATTATGCATTGCTTTTTCACTTTCCTTATTGTTAAGTTGTACCTTCTTTCTTATATGTTTCGTAGATATTTCTTTATTTTAGAGATGTCGCTCTGTCACTCAATCTGGAGTGCAGTGGCCCAATCTCACCTCACAGCAACCTCCGCCTCCTGGGTTCAAGGGATTCTCCTGCCTCAGGCTCCCAAGTAGCTGAGATTGTAGATGCGTGCACCACACCCGGCTAATATTTGTATTTTTAGTAGAGACAAGGTTTCTCCATGTTGCCAAGGCTGGTCTCGAACCTCAAGTGATCCTCCTGCCTTGGCCTCCCAAAGTGCTGAGATTACAGGCACGAGCCACCTTGCCCAGCCATTTTATTTAATAATTTAGGTATTTAATATCTAAATCTTATTGTTTTATTTTTTCTACTTTCTTTGGATTTGTTCTATTATTCATTCTTTCATATTTAATGTTGGCTACATCACTCAATAATTTTCAGCCTTTCTTTTTTTTTTAACATTACCATGCATGGTTATACATCAGTCTTACATCCTCCTTCCTAGAGGCAGCACCTGCTATAGGTATTCTTGTATGTGTGATGTATTTAAGGAGGGCACTCAGAATAAGGGAGCAGAGGGGAGATGGATGAAGAAGAGGAAGGAGTTAAGCAAGGATGTGTGTTCAGCTGGAGTCTAGCCTTGGCTTGAGCCCAAGATTCTGGAGTATGAATGGCCGTGGAACTGGTCCTTCCTTGAGGCAAGTGGGCTGGATTTTGTATCCCTATTTGAGTCAGTGATTGGCTGCAGACCACTGTGGAAGTGGTGGCTGGCACATAAAGTCCAGGTGAAGTGGCTCTCATCAACTGAGGGCAATTCTATGGAAAAGAGCAGTCACGGAGCTACTGGCAGGCAACACTCACAGCAGCCAGAGGATGGGCACATTGACCTGTTATAGGGGATATGGTTGGGGCACCAATAGCAGCTATTACATCCAATAAGATATAGTATTTTGGCTGACTACAGTGGCTCACAGCTACTATAATCCGAGCACTTTGGGAGGTCGAGGCAGGAGGATTGCTCTAGCCCAGGAGTTTGACACCAGCCTTGGCAACAAAGAAAAAAGAAAGAAAAAAGATATAGTATTTATATAATACTATAATACTATAATGTCTCAAAGAAAAAAAAGATATAGTATTTTTATAATTTCATATTTGTACTATTTCGTTATTTATTATAGATTTATTATTTTATCTGTAACACTTAGAAATGTGTTTGAAAGTAATTTATAAATGTGTTTCTTAGTAATTTTTTGTGAGATTTATAAATCAATTTATTTGCATCAAGAGAACTTTTATTTACTTATTTATTTATATTTATTTATTTTTTGAGACGGAGTCTCGCTCTGTCACCTGGGCTGGAGTGCAATGGCACAATCTCGGCTCACTGCAACCTCCGCCTCCCAGGTTCAAGCGATTCTCCTGCCTCAGCCTCCCGAGTAGCTGGGATTACAGGCACGTCCCACCACGCCTGGCTAATTTTTTGTATTTTTAATAGAGACGGGGTTTCACTGTGTTAGCCAGGATGGTCTCAATCTCCTGACCTTGTGATCCGTCCGCCTCTGCCTCCCAAAGTGCTGAGATTATAGGCATGAGCCACCGCGCCCAGCCAAGAGAACATTTATGATACTCATTCTTTGCTATTGGTTAGCTATTGATTGCTCTATGGTCTATTATGTGGTCAATTTTTGGAAATATTGTGTATGCACTTGAGAAGAATAATGCTTTTTTTTGTTTGTTTTGCTGGGTGCAAGGTTCTATATATGCCTTTTAGATCAAGCTTACTAACACAATTGTTCAAATCACCTGTATTCCTTAAAAATATTTAATCTACTTAGTTCTCAGTTATTGAAAGAAGTGTGCTAAAAATTTACACCAAGATAATGGATTTGTCAATTTCTGCTTATAATTTCATCAAATTTTGTTTGACTTATATTTCACCAATTCTTAGGAGTAGCCCCTAGAGAAGAAATGTCAGATTACTTTTAGTTAGATGGCAGTGGAAATGAGGAGAAACTGGGAATAATATTTTCAATGTGTTGGGAAAAAAATTCATAGAATTTTATGCCCAGCTAAAACATCTTTTAAGAAAGAGGTGAAAAAAGGCATGTTCATAAAACAAAACATCTAAAATATGGGTTTACCCCCAGCAGAATGTTACAAAAGATTGTTCAGCAAGTCCTTTAGATAGAAATAAAATAAACTCAGATAGAAAGTCTCAGATGCAAACAAGAGATAAAGAGAAAAAATAAAGGCAAATATGTTTTTCCATCATATTTACTTTGTAGCACCAGACACGACTTCTTCTTCTTCTTTTTTTTTTTTTTGAGATGGAGTTTTGCTTTTGTTGCCCAGGCTGGAGTGCAATGGCGCGATCTCAGCTCACTGCAACCTCCACCTCCCAGGTTCAAGTGATTCTCTTGCCTCAGCATCCCGAGTAGCTGGGATTATAGGCATGCACCACCACGCCCAGCTAATTTTGTATTTTTAGTAGAGATGGGGTTTCTCCATGTTGGTCAGGCGGGTCTCGAACTCCTGACCTCAGGTGATCCACCCACCTTGGCCTCCCAAAGTGCTGGATTACAGGGATGAGTCACCGTGCCTGACCTAGACACGGCCTTTTCTAACGGCTCTGCCTCTTGCCCAATTTTCAGAAAGGAGCATCTGAAGTGGAAACAAAACCACTGTCACCAAATGCTTTGCGGGGTTGAGAAAACAGTAATTTCAGGCTAAAACATTTGCTGCCATCAGAAAGACTATGACTACCTTTATTTTGAAATATGTGATGGAAACCTAAGAGAGAAATATGGTTTAAAGGAAACACATGATAGAATCATTTTGAGGTTCTTCTATTTTAAAAACTCTGGAATATAAGAATAACTCTCAAAATTCACTGATAAGAAGACAACCCAATAAAAATGGGCAAAGGATTTAACAGACACTTCACTGAAAAAGATACAGATGACAATAAAGCACATGAAAGAATGCTGGGCCGGGCACGGTGGCTCCTGCCTGTAATCCCAGCACTTTGGGAGGCCGAGGCCAGTGGATCACTTAAGATCAAGAGTTTGAGACCAGCCCGGCCAACATGGTGAAACCTTGTCTCTACTAAAAAAAAATACAAAAATTAGCTGGGCATGGTAGTGTGCACCTATAATCCCAGCTACTTGGGAGGCTATGGCAGGAAAATCCCTCGAACCTGGGAGGCAGAGGTTGCAGTAAGCTGAGATAGTGCCACTGCACTCTGGCCTGGGCAACAGAGCCAGACTCTGTTTCAAAAAAGAAAATGTCCAACATCATTAATTTTTATGGAAATGTAAATTAAAACTACAATGAAATGTTACTATACACCTACTATATGACCCAGCAATCCAAATTCTAGTATTTATCCAAGTGAAATAAAAACTTATGTTCTGAGCCAGGTGCAGTGGTGCATGCCTGTAGTTCTAGCTACTTGGGAGGCTGAGGCAGGAGGATCGCTTGAGCCCAGGAGTTACACGCTGTAGTGCACTATGATTGTATCTGTGAATAGCCACTGCACTCTAACCTGGGCGACAGCAAGACCCTATCTGTAAAAACAAACAAACAACAAAACTTACGTTCACACATAAATCTGTATGTAAATGTATATGGCAGCTTCAGTCATAATCTCTCCAAAGAGGAAACAACTCAAATGTCCTTCAATTAGTGAATGGATAAACTGTGGTATAACCATATAAAGGAATACTACTCAGCAATAAAATATGAACAACTAATATACACATTGGCATGAATGAATCTCAAATACATTAAGCTAAGCGAAAGAAGCCAGACTCAAAAGGCTACACATACTGTATATTTTGGAAGAGGCAAAACTGTAGGGAGGGAAAATAGGTCAGTTGTTTTCAGAGGCTGGGGGAAGGGAAGAGGTGATCACACAGGGGCATGGAGGAATATTTTGGGGGTGATGCGACTCTTTTATATATTGATTCTGGTGGTGATAACATAACTGCGTGAATGCATCAAAACTTGCAGAAGTATACACTAGAAAGAGTGAACATTACCCTATGTAAATTATACCTTTAAAAAAAGAAGAAAAAAATCGAGGCATCCTCAGGGTATTTTATAACCTCACTCTCTTCAACATGGAAGTAAATGATGTTTATTACACACTCCTGCAAACACATACCCACACCCCCTCCCCCCACCAAAAACGCTGTTTGTTGTTGAGTCAGATTTCCAGAACCACTTCCTCTAGCCCTCTCTGACTTTTTAACAGACGACTTTTCCACCTACTTTACCAAGAACTGGATCAGATGAACACATCTGACCTTTCTCTCCTCTGTCTCAAATTTCCTCTCCTTATTCATGTGAAAATACAAGATGACCTCTAAGAACCTCCAAAAGTTTGCATTCTAGTATGGAAAATAATTTTAAAAATTATTAAAAAGTACTATAAACTCACCAGAAAGTATAGTGACTTGGTAGTATGACCAGACGCTGGCATACTTTGACATTTCAGGACCATTTGAAGACTCTTCAACCATTTACAGTTAAGTGGAAGAAGCCAATGTGAAAAGGCTACTTATTGTACGATTGCAACCCTAGGATATTCTATGAAGACGGTAAAAAGATCAGTGGTTGCCAGGGGCTCTGGAGGAGGGAGGGACGAATATGTAGAACATAGGAGGTTTTTAGGGCAGTGAAATTATGATATGTAATTATGATATGATATGTAATTATGATATGATATGTAATTGTATGATATGTACGATATCATAATGTTGGATACATATCATTATACATTTGTCAAAAACTCATGCAATGTATACCAAGAGTGAATCCTAATGTCAGTAGAGACTTTAGTTAATAATAATACATCAATATGGGCTCATTAACTGGAACAAATGTACCACACTAATGCAAGATGTTAAAAATAGGGAAGATTGGGAGGAAGGTGAAGGAGTATATGACATCTCTCTGTACTTTTTACTCAGTTTTTTCTGTAAACCTAAAACTGCTAAAACAAAAATTTACTAATTAAAAAAAAGTGGTATAGAAGGGTTGAACTTTAGACGTGAAGTTTTAGGAATACTTAACCCATTTTATTTTGCTTATTTCCTTCTTATGTATGCACAAGAGTGATAAGCCATAATTCATTGATTCTAAGACACACAGTAAAAAAATTCTTTCTTCCTTTTTTTCTGAGACAGGGTATCACTTTGTTGCCCAAGCTGGAGTGCAATGGCACAATCACAGCTCACTGTAACCTCGACCTCTCTGGGCTCAGGCCATCCTCCCACCTCAGCCTCTCGAGTAGTTGGGATTACAGGCACACACCACCACGCCCAGCTAATTTTTCTATTTTTTGTAGAGATGGGGTTTTGTCATGTTGTCCAAGCTAGTCTGGAACTCCCTGGCTCAAGTATCTGCCTGCCTGGGTCTCCCACAGTGCTGGGATTACAGGTATGAGCCACTGCACCTGGCCAAAAATCTTTCTGAAATCAGATTGCATCTTAAAATAGATGGAATTTTAGATTTGCTAAAATATGGTATGGTAAAAAAGTATGATAAAATATGTATGTTTAAGATTTCTTTCAATAAGTATAAAATAAAAATCTAAGATTATAAAGTATTGTGTCGGAATGATAAAGGATTGTGTCAGAATTTAATTGGCAATATTTTTCCTTTTAAGTGGGGGTTAAAATAATAGTGCATCTTAGGTGTGGTGGCTCATGCCTGTAATCCCAGCACTTTGGGAGGCCAAGGTGGGTGGATCACGAGGTCAGGAGTTCAAGACCAGCCTGGCCAACATAGCGAAACCCCATCTCTACTAAAAATACAAAAAGTTAGCCAGGTGTAGTGGCGGGCGCCTGTAATCCCAGCTACTCGGGAGGTGGAGGCAGGAGAATCGCTTGAACCCGGGAGGCAGAAGTTGCAGTGAGCCGAGATAGCACCATTTCACTCCAGGCCAGGCGACAGTGCAAGACTCCATCTAAAAAAAAAAAAAAAAAGTGTGTCTCACAATTGATGAAATTGATCAAATTAGATGAAATATGATATAAGTTTAAACCAAAGAAGCCGATTAAATGGATACATACTTAATTTATCTGTTGTTGCCTCTGGCAGTAGGGATCCAAAGGAGACTACAATTTGACTTGTAGTGTTTCATTTCTTGTATTTATTTGCTTTTTTGATTTTATTGATTTTTTTTTTTTGAGACCGAGTCTTGCTCTGTCACCCAGGCTGGAGTGCAGTGGTGCAATCATAGCTCACTGTAGCCTTGAAATCTTGGCCTCAAACGATCCTCCTGCCTCGGCCTCCCAAAGCTCTGAGATTACAGGTATGAACCACTGTGCCTGTCTACAAAAAAAGAATGACAAGGCAAATGACATATAATGTTCACAATAATCATATCTGAGAAGCAGGAGCATGGTGTTTGTCTTTCTTGGTTATTTTTATTTTATTTTCTGTATTTACAAATTTTAAGGAACAAAACAGAAATGCCTGAAAAAATAATACTGAAGAGACTGAGTGTGGTGGCTCACACCTGTAATCCTAGCACTTTGGGAGGCAGGAGGATCGCTTGAGCCCAGGAGTTCAAGACCAGTGTGGGCAACATAGCAAGACCCTGTCTCATTAAAAAAGGAAAAAATAATAATAATACTGAAGAACAACAGCTCAGAAACCTTCTTGGAGCAGCCTGCCAATCACCAATTCTATTTGCTGGGGAGTATTCTTAGGCAATTGAAGAATGATAGAACTTGAGGGAGGAAAAGACAGGCAGGCAGACACAAAGGACAAATATCGTGTGAGTCTGCGTATGTGAGGTGCCCACCATAGATTCATAGAGACAGAAAGCAGAATAGTGGTCACCAGGGGCTGGAGGTGGGGCAGGGGGGTGTCATTGTGTAAAGAGCACAGAATTTGAGCTTGGGTTAGTGAAAGAGTTCTGGAAATGGATAGTGGTAATGGACACACGAATTGTGAATACACTGCATGCCACTGAACTACACACTTAAAAATGGTTAACATGAGCTGGGCGCAGTGGCTCATGCCTGTAATCCCAGTGTTTTGGGAGGGAGCTTGAGGCCAAGAGTTTGAGACCAGCCTGGGCAATATGGGGAGACCCTATCTCTACAAAAATAAATAAATGAATAAACAAATAAATAAATAAAGCCAGGTATGGTGGCACACACCTGTAGTCCCAGCTATTCAGGAGGCTGAGACAGGAGGATGGCTTGAGCCCAGGCAGGAGGATGGCTATGATTGTGCCAGTGCACCCCAGCCTGGGCAACAGAGCGAGACCCTGTCTCACGAAAGATTAAAATGATAAATGTTGTGCTTTGTATCTTTTACTACATGCACACACACACATGTTGGGCAGAAGAAATCAAGAATTTTATTTTGGCCATGTTAAGTTTGAGGTGCTCAGGAGGTAGTTTGATAAAAATCCAAGCTCTAGCGAGTGACCAGGGCTCTAGACGTAGATTCAGCAGACACCACGTTGAAGCCATGGGGCTAGCGAGAGTGTGGGGAAGGGGAGGCAGTCAGGACCAAGAGGGGCCCTCCCACATTCAGAGGAGCATTGTCCCGTGAGGCAGGAGGAAAACCGGGAGAGTGTAGGGTCCGAGACGTCTACAGCAGAAAGCCTTCCCAGAGGGAGGCAGCGGTCAGTGGACTGGATGTTTCTGAGAGATTGAGCGAGGTGGGGACCATCGGATTTGGCCACGTGGGAGGTGCTGGAAAAGGAAGCTGGCCTGCAGTGGGCTGGGAAGGAAGGAGCTGGGGATGGGAAGGACCCACAAGCCTTGAAGAAGGTTTGCTGTGAATATCACGGAGGAGGGGCGTGGTCGCTGGAGGCAGATAAGGAGGTTAGGGTAACCTTGTTTTGTTTAGATGAGAGCGGCTGGAAAATGTGTGTATTTTTATGGGAACAGTCCATGAGACAGGGAGAGATGGAAGAAACAGGAGAGGAGGGAGAACTGAAGGAGGAGGGGCACAGTGGAGTGAATGGCTTTTGCTAGGAGCAGGATGCCTCCCGTGTCTCAGAAGGGACAGCAGGGTGGGACAGACAGCCCCTAGGACAGGGTTGAGTGATTTCCCCAGCAGCGCTCTCTCTCTGAGAGCTCTCTGGGGTGTGTGCAGAGAGCGTAGTAGGTGGGTCTAACTCCATCAGTGATTCTCAAAGTGAGCTTGATGGGCGAGCAGCATCGGCATCACCAGGAAACTAAGAAATGCAAACCGTGGGGCACCACCCCAAACCTACTGGATCCGAAACTCCGCGGGCGGGGCTCAGCCATCTGTTTTTCACAAGCTCTCCAGGTGATTCTGAAAGTTTGAGAAGCACTGAACTAGGGCGAAGGAGCCCAGCGCATGCAGATGACCCAAAACGTCTGGATGAGAATGGCTTCAGTTCTTCGAGGAGGCAGAAGTTCATGTGGTATGAGCTCCAGGGGTGTCTTCTCTCTTCGCCAGGGACAGAACTATAAGTAAACCCTGGAAATTTCCAAGCATGGAATGCCATTCAGAGGAACTCTGAATCTTTCTAATGAAGGATTATTTATCAAGACAAACAACACACTTCAATGTACCTATTCTTTTTCCACGCCTGCATTTGAATATCAGGTTTCACCTATCTTGATCTTTGCTCCTGCCAGCAGTGATTTGAAAGGACCCTGGACTCTGTCTCCCTGGGTCACCTCTTTCAGGGTTGTCCCGAAGACCTTCTTGTGGCCTGGTCCATCTTTCCACATGGCTCAATTCCAGTTTTCATTTCTGTTGGGAAATAGCAGTGACCTGGCTTGGCCATTCTCTGTGGGAGGCCTTTTTCTTCTCTGCTGAAATAAAGACAAAGATGACTCAGCCTCTCCCAACCTCCAGGATTTCCCAGTCCTTCCAGTGACTCAGAGGATGGTCTATTTAATGGGTAACTAACAGCTCCTCCCAGGAAGTTGGCGGCCCCAGCCTCCCCCTACCTGAGTCACCAGCTCTGGGATGCTCCCATCAAGGCACAGTTACCTTCGAGACCAGGGGAGGCAAACCAAGAAAGATCAGCAATAAGTGGATCAGGAAAGAGGACAGAAGCTGAAAGGCTAGATTTGTTCCTCATTTGCTGGCGGCCTTGGGTGGACCAATGGAGGGCTCAGTGTCCCTATTTGAAAATGGAGAAATTGTGTATCCTCTGATATCATAGCTGCCCCAAAGGAGAGAAGATAAGCCCAGCCCTCTGGAACTTTTCTGTGCAAAAGGAAGGGAACCCTGGGGGTGGGTTTATCCTTGAGGATTTCTAGGACAAGCTGTAGCAGGGGCAGGGCATAGCAGGAGAGTGGAGGAAGGTGGGGTGAGGGGCAGGAGGTCAGATATGGGGTGGGCTGGCCAGGGGCAGGGCCGGAGCGATAAGTGGGAGGCAGGGAAGCTTGGCGAGGAGCAGGACCTGGAGGGCGCAGGGCACCTGGTGGGAACAGTAGCCCAAGACCTTGGTTTTGTGATGTCCTCAATTTTGCCCTGCTTTCTTCTCCCTGACTCCTTCACTACTTCTTTGCCTTTGCTCTTCTCCATTCCTCTCCTCCCCCTTCTCTTTTCTCTCCTCCTTCCCTCTCTCTTGCATCACTGAGAGCATGGAGGCAGCCTTCCCATGGGTTGAGCGTTTCCTTCCTGTTTAGATAGTGAGTGGCATCTGCTTTTGGAGCAGCCATCGGTCCATCCTGTTTACTTGTTGCTGACCCAGTGGGTTGTGGCCAGCGAGGCCATCCACCAGGACCCCCACAGGGTGGAGTGGGAACCAGGGCGCTGACACACACACAGGCATACACATAGCCATGACCAGGTCAGGCTGCCCTACTGGAGTTGATGTTTGGGATGCTGTGGGATTGGCAGCTGGGCCGAGGTCATCTCCTGTGCTGTTGACACGGATGCCCCAGCCTGCCTGGCATGGCTCAGGGCTCGGAAAAGATCTGACTGAGGCTGAGCACGCGGCCTGCAGCTGCTCACAGGGTCAGGGGAGGAGTAAGAAGCAGAAAGGGAGATGCCGGAGGGGCGACATTAGGAGGCACCTTGTCCGGTGGTGCTGTGATTCCTCATGAAGGAGTTAGAGCCAGACAAGATAAAGGGCTTACAGGACGGGTGCCCTTCACCACACCGCCTCCCTGTTCCACCTCCCCTGACCGGGCCCTTCCTTAATTCATGTGATTTGAGATGCACTCCTTTGCTTTTCTTGATTTCTCTAAATGCTGTGCAGTGGCTACTGTTCAGGGTGACGCTGGAAACTGACAAAGTTTCCAGGGGCCGGTGGTATGGGCTGGGGAAGGGGGCAGGCCTGTGAGAGGACAGATGGTGGAGGCGATGGCATTTAAGTAGAAAGTTGGAGGAACCTGAGGCAAAAAAAAAAGTGCTTGAAAGGCTAGGTGTGGTGCCTCACACCTGTAACCCCAGCACTTTGGGAGACCAAGGCGGGAAGATAGCTTGAGGCCAGGAGTTCGAGACCAGCCTGAGCAACATTGCAAGACCCCATCTCTATAAAAATAAAAAAATTGGCCACGCGCGGTGACTCACGCCTGTAATCCCAGCATTTGGGGAGGCTGAGGCAGTAGGATCACCTGAGGTCAGGAGTTTGAGACCAGCCTGACCAACGTGGAGAAACCCTGTCTCTACTAAAAATACAAAAAAATTAGCTGAGCATGGTGGCGCATGCTTGTAATCCCAGCTACTCAGGAGGCTGAGGCAGAAGAATCGCTTGAACCCAGGAGGTGGAGGTTGTGCTGAGCCGAGATTGTGCCATTGCACTCTAGCCTGGGCAACAAGAATGAAACTCTGTCTCAAAGTAATAATAATAATAATAAATCTGAAGAAGCTGATTAAAAAAATAATATTAGGCCGGGTGTGGTGGCTCACACCTGTAATCCCAGCACTTTGGAAGGCTGAGGTGGGTGGATCACCTAAGATCAGGAGTTCAAGACCAGCCTAGCCAACATGGTGAAACCCCGTCTCTGTCAAAAATACAAAAATTAGTCAGGTGTGGTAGCGAGTGCCTGTAATTCCAGCTACTCAGGAGGCTGAGGCAGGAGAATCACTTGAACCCAAGAGGCAGAGGTTGCAGGAGAATTGCTTGAACCCAAGAGGCAGAGTACCATTGCACTCCAGCCTGGGAGACAAGAGCGAAACTCTGTCTCAAAAAATAAATAAATACATAAATAAAATGATAATAAAATAAAAAGGAAAAAAAAGATGGGTGCTCTGATTTTAAGATACTGGCCTATGACCTGACTCCTAAACTCTGAGATAAGGGCCTAAGCATACAAAGATTATCAAAGAAAAAATCAAGGAATAAACAAAACTCACATAAGCCGATTCTAGAGGTGTGGCCTGGGCTGCTCTAAAGGGATTTGTGGAATTACTGAGGTTACCTGAAACTCTCCAGGAATCTGGCCTCCTGGGCTGATTACACACCAAGAATGATGGTGAAAATCCAGATAGTCCGGGGGACCCAGATCTGCCACTCATTGCTGTGTGGCTGGGCCAGTGCTTCTACTGAAAAATTATTCATTGTCTGCCTGAAATTCAGACGTAACTGGGTAAACTGTATTTTTTTATTTTTTATTTTTTTTATTATACTTTAAGTTCTAGGGTACATGTGCACAACGTGCAGGTTTGTTACATATGTATACATGTGCCATGTTGGTGTGCTGCACCTATTAACTCGTCATTTACATTAGGTATATCTCCTAATGCTATCCCTCCCCCCTCCCCCCACCCCATGACAGGCCCCGGTGTGTGATGTTCCCCTTCCTGTGTCCATGTGTTCTTATTGTTCAATTCCCACCTATAAGTGAGTACATGCAGTGTTTGGTTTTTTGTCCTTGCGATAGTTTGCTGAGAATGATGGTTTCCAGATTCATCCATGTCCCTACAAAGGACATGAACTCATCCTTTTTTATGGCTGCATAGTATTCCATGGTGTATATGTGCCACATTTTCTTAATCCAGTCTATCATTGATGGACATTTGGGTTGGTTCCAAGTCTTTGCTATTGTGAATAGTGCCACAATAAACATACATGTGCATGTGTCTTCATAGCAGCATGATTTATAATCCACTGGGTATATACCCAGTAATGGGATGGCTGGGTCAAATGGTACTTCTAGTTCTAGATTCTTAAGGAATCGCCACACTGTCTTCCACAATGGTTGAACTAGTTTACAGTCCCACCAACAGTGTAAAAGTGTTCCTATTTCTCCACACCCTCTGCAGCACCTGTTGTTTCCTGACTTTTTAATGATCGCCATTCTAACTGGTGTGAGATGGTATCTCATTGTGGTTTTGATTTGCATTTCTCTGATGGCCAGTGATGATGAGCATTTTTTCATGTGTCTCTTGGCTGCATAAATGTCTTCTTTTGAGAAGTGTCTGTTTATATCCTTCGCCCACTTTTTGATGGGGTTGTTTTTTTCTTGTAAATTTGTTTGAGTTCTTTGTAGATCCTGGATATTAGCCCTTTGTCAGATGAGTAGATTGCAAAAATTTTCTCCCATTTTGTAGGTTGCCTGTTCACTCTGATGGTAGTTTCTTTTGCTGTGCAGAAGCTCTTTAGTTTAATTAGATCCTATTTGTCAGTTTTGGCTTTTGTTGCCATTGCTTTTGATGTTTTAGACATGAAGTCCTTGCCCATGCCTATGTCCTGAATGGTATTGCCTAGGTTTTCTTCTAGGGTTTTTGTGGTTTTAGGTCTAATGTTTAAGTCTTTTTTTTTTTTTTTTTTTTTTTTTTTGAGACGGAGTCTCGCTCTGTCGCCCAGTCTGGACTGCGGACTGCAGTGGCGCAATCTCGGCTCACTGCAAGCTCCGCTTCCCGGGTTCACGCCATTCTCCTGCCTCAGCCTCCCGAGTAGCTGGGACTACAGGCGCCCGCCACCGCGCCCGGCTAATTTTTTGTATTTTTAGTAGAGACGGGGTTTCACCTTGTTAGCCAGGATGGTCTCGATCTCCTGACCTCATGATCCACCCGCCTCGGCCTCCCAAAGTGCTGGGATTACAGGCGTGAGCCACCGCGCCCGGCCACGTTTAAGTCTTTAATCCATCTTGAATTAATTTTTGCATAAGGTGTAAGGGAGGGATCCAGTTTCAGCTTTCTACATATGGCTAGCCAGTTTTCCCAGCACCATTTATTAAATAGAGAATTCTTTCCCCATTTCTGGTTTTTGTCAGGTTTGTCAAAGATCAGATGGTTGTAGATGTGTGGTATTATTTCTGAGGGCGATAACTTGTATTTTCACTTGCAAATCTGAAAACCTCTCTGAACCGTCCAAAGGACAGATCCTAGCCCCAACTTGAGGCCATCAGCAGCAAACCTGGAATTACTTTGAAGCCTGGGATTTCACCTTAAAAACTCATATAAATTTCAAGCTCATCTCCATGTTTCTATCCTTGTTTTGATATAAAACAGGTATTAAATCGTCCTGGTTAAAAAGCAAGTGTTTCGGCCGGGCACCATGGCTCACGCCTGTAATCCCAGCACTTTGGGAGGCCGAGGTGGGTGGATCACCTGAGTTCAGGAGTTTGAGACCAGCCTGACCAACATGGTGAAACCCTGTCTCTACTAAAAATACAAAAATTAGCCGGGCATGGTGGCGAGTGCCTGTAATCCCAGCTACTCAGAAGGCTGAGGCAGGAGAATCGCTTGAATCCGGGAGGTGGAGGTTGCAGTGAGCTGAGATCTCACCATTGTACCCTAGCCTGGGTAACAAGTTGGTCAGGTGCTAAAATAAAATTAAATTAAATTAAAAGGTCACTTTTTTTTAGATGGAGTTCGAGACCACCCTGGCCAATATGGTGAAACCCCATCTCTACTAAAAAATACAAAAAATTAGCCAGGCGTGGTGGCACACGACTGCTGTACCAACTACTCAGGAGGCTGAGGCAAGAGAATTGCTTCAACCTGGGAGGCAGAGGTTGCAGTGAGCTGAGATCGCGCCACTGCACTCCAGCCTGGGTGACAGAGTGAGACTCCATCTCAAAAAAAAAAAAAAAAAGAAAGAAATACAGAACCTCAGGCCCCATCCCAGACCTGCTGAATCTGAACCTGCATTTTAACAAGGTCCCCAGGTGATTTGTATGCAGTCTGCCTTAGTGACCTGTCAGGAGTCTCATCTTGACGGGTGGTCTCAGCAGTAGTTGGCCTTCTTCAGTGGGAACCTGAAGGCCACGGAGGCTTGCCTTCCCATCAGAGCTTGCTGCAGTATCTCCCACCCATGGGTGTACAAAATTGGAGCTTTTATCCACAGGAATGGAACTTGGATTCATCCTTTGCCTGGGTCTATTAGTGTCTTTTCATCAATGCATCATTGTTCCATTGGGACAACCATACAGTAACCAAAAATGTTGGCTGAAGATCAGGGACTTCTGTCTTGGAGGAGAAACCCGAGGATAACCAGTCAGAATATGTGTAGAGGAGATGATAAGGCATACAGTTTGGCCTTGACTTCGAATGCAACATTCATTTACTACATGACCATACAGGCCTGGTTTTAAGCCATGCACCTTCTTGTTTTCTAATTCTTTTTTCAATCATATGACACTGACACAAGTTATGAAAAGACTGGGCAAGTGAGGGATGTTCTTTATTTGTCCTCTGTGTCAGCCAGTTATCACCATGACAGTGCTGTGAAACAACCATGAAATTGGCACACAACAATTCCTATTTATTTCTCATGTGAGTAGGGTGTCTGGGATGACTCTACTGATCTCCTGTATCTATAAGTTAGCTGGGTGTTACAAGCTGAGCTAAGCTTGGATCAGATAGGCGGCTCTGCCTCAAGTTACTCTTTGGGTGAGTTTGCCTCTGGGTGCTGGATTGAGTTCTGGTCTGCTTCTGTGTTCATTCTGTGGCCCTAGGCTGAAGGGCAGTGGCTGTCTAGGAAAAGGCTTTTAATAGAGATGATAAAAGCACAAGGAAGTGGAAACACGTGAGAACTCTTAAAGCTAAGGCTCAGTAGGGACACACTACCACTTCTTCCCTATTTCATTGGCCAGGGAAAGCCACACTGTCAAGCCCAATATCAGTAGTTAGGAAAATATAATCCTCTTTTCCGAGTCCATGGCAAGAATGTGGATGCAAAATACTATGTAAGGAAGTGAGGAACGTGGCCAATACGTCAGTCCACTATATCTTCCAACTGGAAACTACGTTTCTGTGGATATACATGACCCATTCCTTTATAAAATTCCTCTTGGCAAAGAGTGCTGGCTGTTCACCAAACATCACTTTCCTACCCTTCCTGGATATACAGCTAGGACACATTTCCCAGCCTTCTTCGTACTTAGATGTGACTATGTGACTGGTTTTGGTAAATGGCATGTGAGTGGAAGTATGTCATTTTTCAAGCTAAGACTTTCCTCTGCTGCTGGTTTTATGCAGATTACTACAAGACCTTAACGGTTGTTGGAGGCACAAGATGGAATGAGCCTAGATCCCTGAATCACTATGTGGAGGAAGGCCATTATGAAACAGGAATATTCCTTTATTGTGTCCGTAAGATCTAAACTTCTATTACGTTGGAGTCATTTATTCTTGGGTCTCTGTTCCACTAGCCAGCATTACTGTAACTAACATATTTCTTAAAGCCCTTCTTTGTTACTCACCTTTCATCATACATGGTAACCCAGCGCCTTGTGATGGTGGGTGTGAAGTGCTCCGCACATGTGAAATCTGACTGTGATCAATGCTTTACTAATGTTCCAACACAAAATGGAATCTAAGTCAGCTGCACTAATGTGACAGAGACTGGTGCTAATAATTACTGACATTTGGAGAGGACCTGATGGCTTGGACATCACTTTTCACACCCTTTATTCTTTTTAATCCTTACTACATCCCCGAGAGGCAGACTTTTATCATTACCTCCATTTTACAGAAGACAAAATGGAGTTCTCCAAACTTGCCGAAGGCTTCACAGCTGGCCATTAGATACCCGCACCCGACCTCCTTCCCCTCGTTGTCCTGTGAGGAAACGATGAGGAGACTTCTCAGCTCCACTCCATTTTACACCAATCAGGCTCCAAAGGCCTCCTTGGTGAGGTAGAAAAACAGATTCTACCCAAGGCTGCTGGTGCTGCTGGTGTGACTTATAAGGAGAATTTGCAGTTCCCAGGCTTTAGTTGAACCTGCCTGCCCTAGGAATCTGTTCTTGAAGACAACAGCAAGGTATTCCTGGGGGCTTCTGCTTGGTGGTAGATTACTTGCAAAGATGGCTGCCAAGGAGTCCTTCAATTCCTGATGCACAGTGGTTATGGGTTGAATTGTGTCCCCCTAAATATGCTGGGGTCGTAACCCTGAGTACCACAAGATATGACCTTAGTTGAAGATAAGGCATGATATATTGTTTGTGTGTATGTGTGTATGTATATATATACACCGTATATTGTGTGTGTGTGTGTATATTACACACACAATATACTGTGTATATATATACGCACACACACACGATATTGTGTATGTACATATACACCCACACATACACACACGATTATATTGTGTATGTGTATACACACACACACACACACACACACACACACATGTTTTTGTCCATGGTTCTTAGTTCATAACTCCCATAGCCCTTATTATTTCCTAAATGACCAAAACATATCTTTTGTTAAAATTATTTGTCCTTTTGTCTTTGGTTCCTGAAGTAGCTTCAGAACAGCTTCAGAGCCATGAAGGTGAAAGGCAGTCTTTCGTTATAATGTTGGGGGACTTTAGGCCTCAGAAGACAGAACTGCTCTCTCTGACCTTCTTCATCTACCTTTCACCTGCTTCTTTTTCTCCCCAAGGCAGGCTGTAGAAATGAAAGATATATTCTAATTTCCCCCCATCTTTCTGTCTTGGAGCTAGCCATAAAGAAATTCTCTGACTTATCTAATTGCAGGTCATAAAATCCTCATTTCAGAGGGGTCTTGCCCCATTCCCTGGAGGAAGGACTGCTGCACGGAGAGGCTAAGAAGAATCTGAACAGACAGGCCTTGCTGGGTTTCCCCACTCAGTCTATTAGTATTAGATTATACCCTTTTTGTCTAATCACATTTCTACACAGTTGTCCTTATACCAATCATGTCTATCCGATGAAGTCTCCATAAAAGGCCTAAGAGGAGGGGTTTGGGGAGTTTCTGGACAGCTGAACTCATAGGAACATGAACAAGAACTCATCCACGTGCCCAGAGGGTGTTGTACCCCAACTCATAAGAATGGAAGCTCCTGTTCTCAGGATACTTCCAGACCTCGCCTGTATAATCCCATCATCTGGCTATTTATTTGTATTATTTAAATAAAGATATTACATTAATTAATTACTTCACTAACGTATTTATTTTTTTCTTCCACTGCCAGAAATATTTGTATTCTTTAAAATATCCTTTTTTTTTTTTTTTGAGACTGTCACTCTGTTTCCCAGGCTGGAGAGCAGTGATACCATCTTGGCTCACTGCAGCCTCTGCCTCCCAGGTTCCAGCGATTCTCCTGGTCAGCCTCCCAAGTAGCTGGGATTACAGGCAAGTGCCACCATGCCTGGCCAATTTTTTATTAGTAGTAGAGACAGGGTTTCACCATATTGGCCAGACTGGTCTTGAACTCCTGACGTCAGGTGATCCACCCGCCTTGGCCTCCCAAAGTGCTGGGATTACAGGTGTGAGCCACCACACCCGACCTAAAGTATCCTTTCTAATAAACTGGTAAACATGTTTTCTGGAGTTTTGTGAGCCACTCTAGCAAGTTAATCAAGCCCAAAGAAGGGATCATGGGAACACTAACTTGAAGCTGGTTGGTCAGAAGTTCCAGAGGCCTCGGCTTGCAATAGGCATCTGAAGCTGGGGCAGTCTTGTGGGACCGAGCCCTCAACTTGGGGGATCTGCCACTATCTCTAGATAGATAGCGTCGGAATTGAGTTGCATTAGAAGATGCCCAGCTGGCTGGGCGCGCTGGCTCACGCCTGTAATCCCAGCACCTTGGGAGGCCGAGGCAGGTGGATTACCTGAGGTTGGGAGTTTGAGACCAGCCTGACCAACATGGAGACACTCCGTCTCTACTAAAAATACAAAATTAGCCGGGTGTGGTGGCACATGCCTGTAATCTCAGCTACTTAGAAGCCTGAGGCAGGAGAATTGCTTGAACTCGGGAGGCAGAGGTTGCAGTGAGCTGAGATCGCACCACTGCACTCCAACCTGGGCAACAAGAGTGAAATTCCATCTCAAAAAAAACAAACAAACAAACAAAAAAAGAAATTGCCCATTGCAGAATTGCTTTGCTTGCTTACTTATTGGGGAGCAATTTCCCATGTTTGGTCACAGAAGTGTTCTGTATTGATTGTTGGGGCATGACAGCAGAGGATAAACAGTTTGTTTTTCAGCCCCTGGGGTTTTTACAGAGGTAATCAAGTTAAATGAGGTCATTAGGGTGGGCCCTAATACAATGTGACTGGTGTCCTTATAAGAAGAGGAGATTTGAGCTGGGCGTGGTGTCTCACACCTGTAATCCCAGCACTTTGGGAGGCTGAGACAGAAGGTCATGAGTTCGAGACCAGCCTGGCCAATATGGTGAAACTCCATCTCTACTAAAAATACAAAAATTAGCCAGGCGTGGTGGCACACACCTATAATCCCAGCTACTTGGGAGGCTGAGGCAGAAGAATCACTTGAACCTGGGAGGTGGAGGTTGGAGTGAGCCGACATCCTGCCACTGCACTCCAGCCTGGGCAACAGAGCAAGACTCCGTCTCAAAAACAAAACAAAACAAAACGAAACAAAACACCCAAAACAGGCCGGGCGCGGTGGCTCATGCCTGTAATCCCAGCACTTTGGGAGGCCGAGGCGGGCGGATCACAAGGTCAGGAGATCCAGACCATCCTGGATAACACAGTGAAACCCCGTCTCTACTAAAAATACAAAAATTAGTGGGCCATGACGGTGGGTGCCTGTAGTCCCAGCTGCTTGGGAGGCTGAGGCAGGAGAATGGCGTGAACCTGGAAGGCGGAGCTTGCAGTGAGCCGAAATGGCACCACTGCACTCCAGCCTGGGCGACAAAGCGAGACTCTGTCTCAACAACGACAACAACAACAACAACAACAACACACACACACACACAAACCCCAAAACAAAACAAGAGGAGATTTGAGAGATAGCTCATGGGAAGGTGATGAAGCCAGTGAACACCAGAGTGCCAGAAAACTACCAGAAGATAGGAGAGAGGCTGGAACAGATTCTCCCTTCTAGAGGGAACCCACCTACACTTTGATCTGGATTAATGCCTCTAGAACTGTGAGAAACTAAATTTCAGTTGTTCAAGCCCCCTAGTCTGTGGCATTTTGTAATGGCAGCCCTAGCAAATGAGTACAAGACTCTTTCCATCAAGAGGTGGAGTTGATTTATCCTTCCCTTGAATATGGGCTGGCCTTATGCCTTTCTTCAGCTATAGAATGTGGTAGAAATCATGGCTTGGCAGTTCTGAGTCTAGGTCTTAAGATGTTTGGTTGCTTCCATATTCACCCTCTGGGAAGCCAAGCCACCACATGCTAAGGAAGTCTAGGCTATCCTGCTGGAGAGGTCCCATGGAGAAAGAGGCCATTTTGATTGTTCCAGCTTCAGCCAAGCTTCCAGCTAATGTCCCCAGTCAACATCACATGCAGTAGAACTGTCCAGCTGAGTCCAGCAAACCCCCAAAATTGTGAGAAATAAGAAATCATTCAGCTGGGCACGGTGGTTCGTGCCTGGGAGGCCGAGGCGGGCGGATCACCTGAGGTCGGGAGTTCAAGACCAGCCTGACCAACATGGTGAAACCCCGTCTCTACTAAAAATACAAAAAAATTAGCTGGGTTTAATCCCAGCTACTTGGGAGGCTGAGGCAGGAGGATCACTTGAACCCAGGAGGCGGAGGTTGCAGTGAGCCGAGATCGCATCACTGTATTCCAGCCTGGGCAACAGAGCAAGATTCTGACTCAAAAAAAAAAAAACCGTTGTTTTAAACCACTATATTTGGGGCAGCTTGTTATGTAGCAATGGGCAACTGAGACGTGCATCTTCAGTTCAGTGGGGCAAGTACTCCAGCATCTCTGCCACTGTTGCCCTTAGTGCCTCCAGTGCCATCCTTCCACCCTCCTCCCGGTGGATTCTGGGTGACTCCTGCCTCCTCACATGGCTTGCTTCTCTTCTTTTTTATTTTTATTTTTTAAAGATACATTCTGTTTGATGTTCCCAGCATTGCTCACTTCCATACACTAATTTTCAGTGGTGCATCTTGTTGGCAGGGCCTGGCTGCTGCCAGCGCTTCAGCTGCAAAGGAGACTGGGAAAGAGTGTTTCTGGCTTTGGCATGTGGGGAGGGGTTGGGGATTCATGACATGGAAAGGTCCCCTAACATAGAAAGATGTTCAAAAGGTACTGGCACTCCTGAAATGTAATGAAGGTCTTCAACCATGGCCAATACTTTTTGGGAACTTAATGTGTTCTTGGCACACAGCTCTGGGTCCGTTCACCTTCTAAAGATAAACAGGGCCCTGAAATCACCTTTCCTCACTCTCCACCACATGAATTAGGATGAATTGACTCTAGGGATGGGTGTGTGACTCAGACTCAACTAATCTGAATATCAGAACCTCAGTGATTAGTTTGGAATGATATGTGAACCAGTCCAAGGCAACTAGGTGTCACCTTGGCTTTTTGCTGAAATAAATGAGGACTTGGGCTGTGAGGGTGGAGCCTAGAGCTGCTGGAAGCCAACTTCCTACTGCAAAGAACAGAGATGAAAGATAGGGGAAGGAAGACCAAATCCTGATGTATTTTGTGCTTCTTGGTACCTGAATCAGTCAGACCACCTTTTATGTCAGCATATAAATTACCTGTCTGCTTACACCAAGCCAATTTGCATAGTTTCCCATCATTTGTAATCCATCAAGTCCATATTAATATTTTTATTTAATAAACTTTTTTTTTTTTAATTTTTTTGAGATGGTGTCTTGCTCTGTCACCCAGGCTAGAGTGCAGTGGTGTGATCTTGGCTCACTGCAACCTCCGCCTCCCGGGTTCAAGCGATTCTCCTATTTCAGCCTCCCGAGTAGCTGGGGCTACAGGCGCCCGCCACCACGCCCAGCTAATTTCTGTATTTTTAGTAGAAACGGGTTTCACCATATTGGTCAGGCTGGTCTTGAACTCCTGACCTCAGGTGATCCACCCGCCTCGGCCTCCCAAAGTGTGGGGATTACAGGCATGAGCCACCGCGCCCGGCCTTATTTAATAAACTCTTTGGAGTAGGTACTATTTATTAACCCTGTTTTACAAATGAAGAAACTGAAGCAAAGAGATTAAGCTTACCTAAGGCTACTTAGGGGCAGAATTCAAATCCAGGAGATATAATTCTGAGAGCTAACAAATATTCTGCTCTCCTTGGTGACCCAGGAGGATTCACAGAGGAGGTTGTGACATGTAGACTAACATTTAACCCCAAGAGGGCATAGGGATTTGTGGGGAGGGGTGAGGAGAAGAGGCTTCCAGGGGATGGAATAGCTTGGGCAATGACAAGGCTTTTTCTGCTGAGAGGAAACCTCACCTGAAATTCACTTGTCCCAGTCCTGAAGCCTGTCCCCAAGCGGTTCCCTCTTGGAGGGGAGCATCAAACCCCATTTCTCCAGGGCCACCTCTACCCTCCTGGCTTCTGGACCTCTGCCGCCGCCCTGTGCTACACGCCGGGGCCTGTCCCGCTGTGGGTCCCCTGCGGGAGGGGGGCCCCTGCTAGGGAGGGAGGGGGTGCGGGCCCAGATGTGGGCGTGGGACCCGGGTTTCCGAGGCAGGGATCCAGCAGTCTCCGGCTTCAGGGGCTTCTAGCTTCCCGGCTCCCGGCGGGGCGGGCCCGGGGAGGAGCTCGGCGGGTCCCCGCCCAGAGGCGGAGCGGAGGGCCGGGCCGGAGCGGGGTGGGTAGGGGACGCGAGGCGGAGCGGGGCCCCACACAGGCCGCGGCGGCTGGCTCGGGCCCCTACGGTCCCGGCGGCGGCTGGAGGAGGAAGCCAGGCGGCTGGCGGAGGAGGAGAGACGGAGGAGGCCGAGACCGGAGCGCCGCTCGCCGCAGACTTACTTCCCCGGCTCAGCAGGGAAAGGTACGGTGCGCCCGCTCTCCGGCCCCGGGCCCCGGCTCTCAGCCTCCCCCGGGCGCAGGCAGGGGCTGCGGCCGCCGCGAGAGGGTGAGGGGCCCGGAGCGGTCCCCGAGGGCTCGGCCGGCCCGGGGCTTGGGCGGCCAGCGCGGCGCTCGGGCGCTCGGGCGGGGGTGCGGGGCGTTCCGGGAGGCTCGCGGGGAGCAGGGGGCGCCGCGCCCCCCTGGCTTCCGCCGGGGTAAGCAGTGGTGTGGGCCGGGGTGGCGGCGATCCCGGCGCCAGGGCTGCTCGGCCCGGGCCGGGCGCCGGGGGTAGAGGGCCGGACGGACCCCCGGGCTACGTGCGGGAGGGGAGCGTCCCGGGCGCCCTGCAGGCGCGCTCCGTGGGCGCAGACAAAGCCGGGCGCGGACGCCCCGCGACGACTCGGGCTGCCGGGAGGGTGGGCACCGGGGAGAGGACAGAAGGCTCCCGGGTGATGGCCCGAACGCCAGGAGAGGCTGTGCTGACTTCCCCCTCTGGGCTCCGGGCGTCCGGGTGGTCCCCTTGGGGCCCCGGGCAGGGTGAGGAGCAGCTTTCTCTTAAGGGCCAACTAGGGGCTCACGGGTTGTCCCGGGCTTGGCGGGAGCCGGGCTCGCAAAGGGTTCGGGTGTGTTGGAGGGCTCACTTTGTGGGAGGGGCTGAGGGAAGCCACTGCCCTGGGGTAGGGGCGAGGGCTCCTTTAGAGCAGTTGAGGGGCCCGCGGAGCTTGCGCCAGGGGGACTTGGCCCGATGAGATACGCTCGGTGCCCGGCACGTATAGTGAGAGGTGCCCACAGGTTGTTTGCAGAACCTGCTGTTGGTGGCACATCACGTACCAGTCTGTGGGGGCAACTTGGCCGTGATTGGAGCCAGCAGTAGGTGCCCTGGGGTTACCGGGAGCGACGCGGGCCGGGGTGCCATGCATCCGAAAGTGTGTGCAGTGAAGCCCCCACATTTGCATTCGGCCACCACTGCCCCCTGGCCTCTTGTTAGGCGGAGAGGGCATCCCAATTCCTGCCGCTGGCCCTGCCTCCGCTTGGACTCCAAGGTCCTCTCCCTGTCCCCCTTTCTTCAGTTACCTCCTCTCTCTCCAGTGTTAGAAGTGGCTTCTATTCCCCTGGATCGTCCACAGCATTATAAGAAATATGCCTTGGCACCCTGTCTCTCCAATTTTGTAGCCCCCTTTTCGCCTTAATCCCTCATTCCCTCCAGCTTCGGACCTTCTTCCCTTCACAGCAAAACTTCTCTGGAGAGCCTTCTGCACTCGCTCCTTCAGAGCACAGCTCTTCCGTTCTTTTGCTGGCTTGCCCTGACTTCGGTCCCACCCCTTCACTGAAACAGCCTCAGCCAAGCTCTCCAGTGAGCTCCACGCCCCCAAAAGCAAGTCTTCTTCCACCTCTCCTGGTCTCCTTGAACACTCTCCTTCAAGAACCAGTATCCTCCCTTGGCTTCTGGTTTTCTTCCCTCCTTGGCTGCCCTTTTTCTTAGACTTCTTTTCAGACAGCTCCTTCACTCAGCTCCAAATGTTGGAGGGCCCCAGGGCTTTGTCCGTAGCCGCTTCTCTCTCTGGTCTATTTACAAACCCTTCCCCGTTTCATTCTTTCTTATGATTTTAAAAATCAAGCATCAATTTGCAAACATACAGATCTTAAATGTACATCATTCTCATGGTTTTAAATAGCAGATTTTACCTCCAGCCCCAGCCTCTCTACCTAACCCCCCATCTGATGATTTATGATGTCCTGGATGACAAAAAACTTAATATGGATGAAACAGAACCCTGATGGCACTCCCCAGGCCTTCCCATCTCAGTGAATCGCCCATCATCTACTCACTTTTTTTTTTTTTTTTTTTTCTTTGAGACGGAGTTTCGCTCTTTTCGCCCAGGCTGGAGTGCAATGACGTGATCTTGGCTCACCGCAACCTCCACCTCCTGCGTTCAAGTGATTCTCCTGCCTCAGCCTCCCAAGTAGCTGAGATTACAGGCATGCGCCACCACGCCCGGCTAATTTTTGTATTTTTAGTAGAGATGGGGTTTCACCATGTTGCCCAGGCTGGTCTCGAACTCCTGATCTCAGGTGATCCACCCATCTTGGCCTCCCAAAGTGCTGGGATTACAGGCGTGAACCACTGCGCCAGGCCCATCTACTCACTTTTAAAGATGGGAAACCAGGAGCACAACTCCACCAAGAGCAAGTCCTTTTGGTTCTTTTCACAACGTTGATCTCAAGCCTGCCCTCTGTGCTCTGACTCCACTGTTAAGGCCCCAGGCTACCTGCCCCAAGCCAAGCCAAGCCGCGTAACCCTCTCCCCAGGTCTACACTTGCCCTTCTCTGATCTATTTTAGTAGAGCAGCGAGAATGTTATAGAAACTTTTGATAGGACCATCTCATTTCTCTAAAATTCGTGATAGCTCTCTATCACACTTGATTAAAATCTCAAAGCTTTCCCTCAGCCTACCAGACCCTTCCCAGTCTGGCCACAGCTGACCTCCCCAGCCTTATCTGGACCACTGTCCCCTTTGCATTCTCCCTGACAGACACATCTGAATCATTTCTGCCCTTTGGACAACCTAAGCTTTCTCCTGCCCCACGGCCTTTGCTTGTGCTATCTTTTCTGCCAGGAGTGTTTTCCAGTGCCCTTTACTGGCCTGGCTTTTCTCCTTCTTATTTTTAAGGTCTTCACTTAATTATACCTTCCTCAAATGCCTTCCCAGTCTTGGGAAGTCCCCCGTAATTAATCGTAGCACCTGACTTATTTTCTATATTATATTTATCACAGTTCACAACCATTTGTTACAATTGTTTGTATACTTGACTTATCTGGCTTCTTAAGGGCCGGAACCTTGACTGAATGGACCAGTGCTGTATCTGGAGCATCTAGCACAGTGCCTGGCATGTAGCTGATGCCCAGGAAATCTTCAGCCAGGTGGCAGGTTGGGGCTGGATTGGGCAGAGAGGTGGGTATTGCAGTGAGCACAGGAGTCCTCTTTAAACTTCAAGTGACCCTGAGGATTTTTATTTTCTTTCCACAAAAGCAACTGTGCAGATTGCTGCAAGAATCTAAGGGCGCCAATGGGATGTGAAAAAGGGAAGTGGAGAAGGTATGCGTGGCTGGAGGGCAGGGCTGTATGCCGAGGGCAGCCGGTGGGATGTGAGTCTGTGTGTGTGTCACTGTGGTTGGGGTAAATGATTTCCTTTGCTTTCTTTGGTAGAAATGCAAGCTGGGTCAGCAGAGGGATATGTGTGCATGTTGGGTGGGAGGGAGATTCTCTAGCTCACAAGATGTGGGCAGCCTGGGCAGCCAGGGATTGATTTCAGCCCACTCTCTTGGGTGACTGCTGGGTACCCAGCCCTGGGGTGGTCTCTCTCTATCTCTAGACTCTTGCCTTTCTACCCACAGCTCTCCTGTTTGCACAGAGGAGCCAGTTGAGTGTTAAATTGTGTGGCTGGTACTCTCAGAATGGAAGGCTGAGAGCCAGGGGACCTCAGATCTGGGAGGGAGGGGAGCTGACCCCTGGACAGGGGGACAGGGGTGGACTGAGGTAACACCGCGACGTGGGTGCTAGAACTAGGGGCAGTGGTCCAGATCTGGGATGGGGCTGGCATGCCTAGGAAAGACCTTGAGCTGGGATAGGTAGGGATGAGGAGGGCATCCTGGGTGGGAGGAATCAAGCAGAGGCCAAGAGGCAGGGCAGGGCCCTGGTATATTCACTGCATGCCCTGCATTGTTCTAAGCACTTTGCAAATGTTAACTCCTTTAATGCTCTTAACAGCTCTATAAGGTAGGTCTTATTCCCATTTTACAGCTGGGAAGACTGAGGCACAGTCATACAGCTAAATAGTGACAGAATGAGGATTGAATCCAAACATTTTACAGACGGGAGGACTGAGTCATAGTCATACAACTAAATAATAACAGAGTAAGGATTGAATCCAAACAACTTGGCTCCAGAATCCATGCTTGAAATCGGTCCACTCTGCCACTTCTCTCATGCCTCTCAGTTATGTGTCAGCCGAGGGCTTCCTAAGAAGAGGCTTTTCCTGCCTCCCAGAGGTGCCTGGCCTTAGGGGCTGGGGAGGTGGGAAAGAAGGTAGAAGGGGTCCTCGCTTGGAGTGGGTGACCGAATTTTTCTGCTTCATGCCCCACTTTTTCTTCCAGGAGGGGCTCCGGACCCAGGCCAATGGGTTGGGCATCACGTACACTGTGATTTTGGGGTGCTGGGAAGGTCTGCTGCTTCTGGTTCAGCTACCGCTTTCTGCCTGAGATGCCATCATTAGAATGTCACCCTTCTGGGTTTAGCATTGCCCTCGTCATCTGCCTGTAAAATGGGATTAGAGGGACTTTTTTTCTTTGCTCCCTGGAGGTCACATGCTTGAGTGCCTTCTCCTTGTAGACTCTGAAAGGAGGAAAGGCTTCCCCTGGGATGCCAGGCTGAGGAACTGGGCCAGGAAGGAGGGAGGAGGGTGTGTCAGCTCTGCCCTGGGAGGCTTTCCTGTTTGGCACGAGGATGACTCTAGGCAGGTGACCTGGCCTCCCAGGGACCTGGCTGGCTGGCTGAGGAACGGTTTGCTGACCACACAGGGATGGGGTCTGTTTTCTCTGAATTCTGAGCCCCAGAGTTGAGGGGATCTGCTCATCTATCTGGACAGATCCTGCCAGCCTCCTAGGAAGAGAGGGAGGCAGGGTTAGTGGAAACTGAGGCACAGGGAAAACATTGCTGTTGGAAGCTCACCAGCCTTCATGGTTGTCAGGAAGGGCTCCCTTCTCTGGCAGGGGAGCATGGGGGAGGCCTGTCCACGGTGCCCAAGTCCTTGTCTGCTGAGTCGAAGTGAAGGCTGTGGCCAAGCCTGAGGCGGGCAGGCTAGAGCTGAGGTGGACTTCCTGACAAGTAGACACTGGGCCTTGTTAGCTGTGGTCAGCACCTGGCATCTCCTGTGCCCCAGCCTGGTGTTCAGAGCCTTTGGGAACACAGGACACGGTTCCTGCTCTCCAGGAAATAAACGTGAGCCATGCCAGGTGTGATATAATGAGGTCCTCCTCCCAGAGGAGGTGGTGCTTTGGGAGGGTTCTGAAATCTTGGGCGGCTTTGGCCGACAGAGGAGAGGATGGCCTTCCTAAGGTGGAGGAGGAGAAGTGGGTTGAAGCCAGGTTGGGAAAGGCCTTGGCTGCCAAGCTGCTGAGTCTGGCCTTGATTCAGTAGACCCTGGGGAGCCTTTGAAGGTTATAGGGCATGGGGGCAATTACTTGATTAGGGCAGTGGTCTATAAAAGTGCTTTTCAAACTTGAATGCACATAGATCACCTAGGCAGCTTGTTAAAATGCATGTCTGTCCTGTCTGATTCACCAGGTCTGGGGTGAGGCCTGTGACTCCGCATTTCTTTCTTTCTTTCTTTCTTTTTTTGAGACGGAGTCTTGCTCTGTTGTCCAAGCTGGAGTGCAGTGACAGGATCTCGGCTCACTGCAACCTTCGCCTCCTGGATTTAAACAATTCTCCTGCCTCAGCCTTCTGAGTAGCAGTAGCTGGGATTACAGGTGCCCACCACCATCTTTAGTAGAGACAGGGTTTCACCATATTGGTCAGGCTGGTCTCGAACTCCTGGCTTCAAGTGACCCACCTGCCTCAGCCTCCCAAAGTGTTGGGATTACAGGCATGAACCACTGTGCCTGGCCTGAGACTGCATTTTTAATAAGCTCCTTGGCAGTGCAATGCTGCTGCTCCATGGAGCACGCTTTGTATAGCAAGGATTTAGACTGGAGTCTTGAGGGACGAGTGCAGTTCAGGTGGGTGGAACAGGGAACTAACTACCTTGGCTCCTGAGGCTCCTGTGTTGCGGGATGTGTAGGGAGCTGCCGGGGTAGGGGGTGGGGGTGGTGCAGGTGGGCTGGGGGCAGGACAGAGGGGACTGTAGAAGATGTGAGATGCAGGGGCCACTCTGCTGGGAGCTGGGGCTGTGTGAGGGCCTCTGGGTGCTTGGGTCATAGACCAGGAACATAGGTCTGATTTCCAGGGCCTCTGACTGTAAGGAGCTCCCAAGACCACGAGGGGGTATCTTGGGTGACTGTATCCCGGGGCAGGGTGACATGCAGACAGCACGGAGGGCACCTTATCTCTGTCCACAGCCGAGCCTGGCACTGTGGGCAACCAATCTGGGGTGAGCACCCTTCCTCCAGCCAGGGCGGGGCCGAGAGATTGGGGAAACAGCTGATCCGGCCCTCTAGCTCCAGCTGTGACGTGTCCTCATAGAAGACGGTAGTCTCCCCAGCTGCCGGGCCATCACCCCAGCGTGTGCAGTGCCTGTCACCCTGGCCCAAGTCCTTGTTGCTGCCGCTGATGGTTACGTGAGCTGCTGTCACTGATGGTTACATGAGCTGCTGTCGGGGGTCTTATCCCACTCTGGCCACCTCTGCGGCGTACGTGGGAGTGGGGGGGGCCTGGATGCTTCTCTCTGCTCTGCCCTGGCTGGGCCACTACAGGCAAGTGTCTGCTCCTCTCTGAGGTGTCAGTCTCCTCATCTGTAAACTGAGGGGTTCAGGTCCCTCCAGGGGGGTTATCACACGGTTTGCTGGGTGGGGCATTGCCTCTTCCCAGAGAGTCAGCTTAACACATTTTAGTTTAATATTAAATATTAAAGTTAATATTAAAACTCACATGCTAATGATGGGGTCGAATTAGCAATTTGCTTGGAAAAAACCATCCGGGTTGTTTTGGGGGTCTCCCAAGGCCCCTTGCACCTCAGGCTCTACATGGCCTGGGGTGCGTATCTGAGGACACTGGTGGGTTGAGTCCCCCCAGTTGCTGGAAGCGGGGTAGCAGTCACTACACCCAAAAGAAGGTACAGAGGGCAGACACAAAGGGCAAAGGTTCCACTGCCCTGGGCAGTGCCATGAGGGGCTGGCAGGGTAGGGGTTGACTGGCTCTCAGTCTGAGCTCCCCAGATATCCCACACACACCTCCTCAAAGGAGGGCAAGGCCAAGCCAATCACACCCCACTTTGATCCCTGCCCCTGGGCCAGGCCGTCCTGCGGGATGGGAGGGGATAACATTTCTCAAAGACTGTTCTGCGCAATCTCAAGCGTTCAGGGGACAAATAAGGGTAGAAACTGGCAAATTCACTCCACTACCCTACGGGAGATTCAGAATACATTTAAGAGAATTAAAGGTCCTGACAAGTCCTGTAGAAAAGAAACTGTTTAGTGTTTCCCAGCCTGATCTGACCGTGGAAATCTTTTTTTTAAATGACTGCCAATAATGTCCCACCCACCAGGAAAACACCTGCTGGGAAAAGCTGATGTGGAAAGATGCTGCTCACTGGAAGGCCACGAACATGGTAGCACAGGTGGACTTCCTGGTAGAGGTAGACTTGGTGGGATGGGCACATTTGGACAATCAGTAGAAGAAGAGGGCACTGCAGAGAGAGAGATGCCAGGCTCCCCTCTGAGGCCTCAGTTTCTTCATCTGTAAATCTTTGCCCCCCATGTCTGCCTCCCCACCTTCCTTTGGGTGTAGCAACTGCTACCCCCCTGCCAGTGCCTGGTGGGACCTCAACTGACCAGGGCCCTCAGATGTGCCCATCCCACCTCTACCAGGAAGCTCCCTGCCATCCTTCCTTTTCTCCCTGGTATTTCTGGGCCGAGAGCCAGCCCTGGGTTCTTGTGGCAATGGCTCTGCCTCACTGGGTGAATGAGGAAGGATCTGGAAGGACCTGTCTGGTGCCTGGGATCCCCAGGTAGCTGGGCCTGGGTCTTCTGGATTCTTTTTCTTTTTTTTGAGATGGAGCCTCACTCTGTCACGCAGGCTGGAGTGCAGTGGCGCAATCTCAGCTCATTGCAACCTCCACCTCCTGGGTTCAAGCAATTCTCTTGCCTCAGCCTCCCGAGTAGCTGGGATTACAGGCGCTCACCACCACGCCCTGCTAATTTTTGTGTTTTTAGTAGAGGTGGGGTTTCACCGTGTTGCCCAGGCTGGTCTGGAACTCCTGGCCTCAGGTGATCTGCTCACCTTGGCCTCCCAAAGTGCTAGGATTACAGATGTGAGCCGCTGTGCCCGGCCATCTTCTGGATTCTGAGAGGGCCTTTTCCTTATACCTCCCGGGCATTTCCTCGCTTTGCAAGTTCTCCCCAGCCTTTCATCTCAGAGGTTAACACAGCAGGGTTGTGAACTCTGGACAATAAGCTAAGCCTCTCTGTGCCTCCGTTCCCTCATTTGTACCATGAGGGTAATATTACCTCCCTCCTAGGGTGGCTGGGTTGTT